>NC_000002.12:187489618-187792648 GCF_000001405.40 Homo sapiens | reverse complement strand
AATTACGTACTCACTTTAACAGTTTTACCTTCAAATGGTTAAGGATAAAAACAATGGCTTGATACAGACATAATAATTGGGAATTCAGTCACCTTAGGTATGATGGCCTTCTTTATCCCACCAGACAAGGCACCCACACCAACAGAAGTTTTCCTGGAAGGAACAGGAATTTAGAATTGGTGGTAAAATAGGGAGAGGCTGAGCATTAACAAGAGCCTTGAGATCAAGGATTCCAAAAACCCTCCTCTTGAAACTTCCCCTAGATAGTGTGTCTGAAGAATCCTAGAGAAACTGTGCCCAGATTGAATGAACTAATTTGAGAAGTAAGATGGGTTCAGCAGTGCAAGCAATAGACTCTAGTAGATGTCATGGTGTCATATCCACATCCCATCCATTGCCAGTGTATCTGGACCCCTAGCTGCAGTGAATGTAAGCCTCTGATGGCTTACAGCTTCAGTCTGGAAAAGTGCTATTATCAAAGGGAATCAATTCACCAGAAAAGGCATGAAAACGAATGCCTTTTACCCAGAGGTGGCTTGCAGAAAATAACTTACTGATACATAGTACGAAAAGCTAACTCGGTCTGGAGTTTGGACAACTCTGATTCTGAGTTTCTCACTTAATTTATCTGGAGGTAGGACATCAATAGAAGTACATAGTTGAATAGTTCTTTGCCCCAGTTCTAACCCGCTTTCCAAAGTTTTTTGTTTTTTGTTTTTTGTTTTTTTTTTTTTACAGATTTCTCGTAAGAGCCTTCCTTCAGTAATCACTTACACCAGGATTTCATGTCAAGCACTGCTTCAAGAGATCCTAGCCCAGGACATCCACCCCTCAAAAGACTGCGTCTCTCAGACTTAACAAATAAATAATCATACTTTGTGTAGTAAAGAAATATTTTAACAAATGAATACAGAGTGTTTGGAAATGAAGTAATGCACAAAGATATACCACGCAAATATGAACAAAAAAGATGCTTTTGTAACAATTTTAAGCCCAAGTAAAAAGCCAATAGATACCAATGAAGAAATGAATAGTGTTATGTTTATACAAGGTTCATTGAGCAATAAAATACTAGTCACGTTGAAGTGTCTCTGAATGAAGAATCAGGTTAATAATAGCTGATTCTATGTTTTTCAAATGTCATTGATGCTAATTATTTTATTTCACAGACATTATATTCTTCACTCCCACTTTCAAATTTGAGGATTTCCACAGATCTCTAAGAGCAATTGGTGAAAGCAAATTGTGTATCAAGTCCTTCTCAGTGATTCAGGAAGTTTAGACAACTGTTTTATTCCAAATTAAAGTGTGAAACTTGCACAGCTCTAATTGTGTTAGCTTGGGCTAATTATTTCATATTTCTGAGTCTTACTTTAATCATCTTTAAAATAAAAAAAGTCCTAAATTATAATATGTTGAAAACCACACATAAAATCTCTTAAAGGACTATCTTAATCTCTCAGCAATACCTGCTCTTTTTATCTTCCTCTCTCTCCTTTTCCTCCCTCTTCTTTTTTATCTTCCTCCCTCTCCTTTTTTAAAATGTAGAAGCCACTATATTTTATGTAATTTTAATTCTAAAATTTTAATATTCTAAAATGATATCCTAGTAGAACAGTGAGAAAGAATGAAATAATTTCATTTTATTTCAAAAAGAATTTCAGTATTTAAAATGCCTCCAACATTATGATTGTTATTGACCCTGATGTTGATTGAAATATGAAAGGGCAGAATTACACATTCAGATGTAATGGAACTTCCTTACGTTACACAAATTAGAAACTATATCAAAGAGAATGTTTAGATTTTGTTGTAATATTTTCAGAAAGATAATAAAATATTTCCATGTGTCAGCAAGAAGACAAAGAAATATCTCTAGTATGCCCATACCATAATCCTGTTTCCTCCAAAATCCTCAGAAAAAGATAGTGAAGGAAAATTGCTTTATTTTCCAAATGTCATAGAATTATATAAGCTAATGAAATAAAACTGTTCATGTTGTAAAAAAATGCATTATCGCCTTTTGGAAAAATCCTCTTAGGACCCAATGTTTCTCATTGACCCTGCCCCTTATCAAAAATAGCAATAACAGCAAATACCAGTACTCCAGGTAATTCTGACTATAAACAGTGCCAGAATTTTTATCAAGTGCGTAATTCTTACCTTAAGGAATCACTTAAGCCCCCTCCAAATACCAAGTTTCTTTGTTGGAAATAACTAATGGCTACCAAGATACAGCTTTCATTGTGTTTTTCCCCATGGTAATGAAACTGAATTACCAGACTGTTTGAAATTATAGGCAAAATAGAACTTTTAAAAAATATTCATGATTGATTTGAACTAAATAAAAATACTGCTTAACTCATAGCACCATTTCTTTCTTTCCTTTTTTTTTTTTTTTGAGTTGTTAGAGTCTTATTCTATCACCCGGGCTGGAGTACAGTGGTGCTATCTCAGCTCACTGCAACCTCTGCCTCCTGGCTTAAGCAGTTCTCCTGCCTCAGCATCCTGAGTAGCTGAGATTACAGGTGCACCACCACACCCAGCTAATTTTGTATTTTTAGTAGAGACAGGGTTTCACAATGTTGCCCAGGCTGGTCTCGAACTCCTGGCCTCAAGTTATCCGATTTCATTTTTTAGATCTCATTAAGTAAAAAAACAAATAAATATGTGTTTATGTATGTCACAGTTGGTGTAGAAAAAGTATGGGCTTAACAAAAAACTAAGATTGAATCCTGGTTCTCTCTCTTATAAGCTGATTGATCTTGTAGCAATTTAATTAACCTCTTTAAACCTCAGTTCTCCTGGGTTAAATGTAAATAATTAAATGTATTGCATTATTGACAAAAGAACAAAAAAGAAAAAGCAAATCAACTGTCATGGTGTTTTAAAAATAGTCTATAACTATTTGTCTTTTTCTTCTATACTATAATCAACATATGGCACCTTATTGGAAGGAGATAGAATAATATGTATGTTTATATTATGCTTTATTATATTATGTTTAGAAGATATATTGTTTTAATGGGAAGGTATAACAGGATAAACACTCCCAATTTTCTCTCATTAAGCTTAAACCTCTCTTTCAAGCTCTATATTTGTGTATCAATTGTCTTTTCCAAATCTTCACTTGGCTGTCTCTAAGATATTTCATACCTAATACAACTATGCTGAACTACTAATTTCACCCCTTCCCAATTCCCTTTCATAGTAGCTTCTTTTCCTCACGGACATTTCCAAATTATTTAATAGCACCAGCATTCACTCAGTCACATGTCAGTCCTGAGGAACCTGTGACTCTCCCTTACCCTCACCTCTAATCTATCCAATCTCGGTTGTTTTTATGCTATTTCACAAAAACCTGTGCCATCTACTTCTGTCTTTCACTTCTGATGGATATTACCAATGCTTTTCATCTGGAGGGCTGCAATACCCTCCTGTTTTCATCTCTATCTTACCACTATCAATTTCATTTTCCACACGGCAACCAATATGATAATTTTAAAGCACAAAATGTTTTGTTGCCCTCTTGCTTAAAACCATCAAATGGCTTCCCTTTCCACTTAAAAGTAATAGCCATGCTTCCACACGTGGTCCAGCAGACACCTTGTGTTCGAGACCCAACCTGCCTCTCCCATCTCTTCCTACGCCACTCTCCCCATATTGATTGTGTATCATTCACAAGAGGATCTTGGGTCTTTAACTTTTTTTCTTTTTAATTTTTGTGTGCACATAGTAAGTGTATATATTTATGGGTTATATAAAATATTTTTATACAGGTATGCAATATGTAATAATCACATCAGAGCACATGGGGTAACCATTACCCCACACATTAATCCAAACAAACCAATTATATCCTTTTAGTTATTTTTAAATGTACAATTAAATTATTTTTGACTATAGTTACCCTGTTGTGGTAGCAAATATTAGGTCTTATTCATTCTTTCTAACTATTTTTTTGTACCCATTAAAAATCCCCACTCCCCTCCACCCCACCTTCCCTGACTACCCTTCCCAGCCTTTGGTAACTATCCCTCTACTCTCTGTCTCCATGAGTGCAATTATTTTAATTTTTAGCTCCCATAAATAAGTGAAAACATGTAAAATTTGTTTTCTGTGCCTGGCTTATTTCACTTCACACAATGACCTTCAGTTCCATCTATGTTGTTGTAAATGTTGAATTTGGTCAAATGATTTTTGATCTCGTATTTCATGGCTGAATAGTACTTCATCGTGTATACAGTGTTTCCTTTATCCATCCATCTGTTGATGGCCACAGGTTGCTTCCAAATCTTGGCTACTGTGAACAGTGCTACAACAAACATAGGCGTGCAGGTATCTCTTCAATATACAGATTTCCTTTCTTTTGGATATATACCTAGAGGTGGGATTTCTGGATTATATGGTAGCTCTATGTTTAGCTTTTTTGAGGAACCTCCAAACTGTTCTCCATAGTAGTTCTACTAATTTACATTCCCACTAACATTGTACAAGAGTTTTCATTTTTTCCACATCCTCTTCAGCATTCGTTATCTTTTTTCTTTTGGATAAAAGTCATTTTAACTGGGGCGAGATTATGTCTGATTATAGTTTTCATTTGCATGTCTTTGATGATCAATTATACTGAGCACCTTTTCATATACCTGTTTGCCATTTGTATGTCTTCTTTTCAGAAATGTCTGTTTAGGTCTTTTGCCCATTTTTTTGAATCAAATTTTTAGATTTTTTTTTTCTGCAAAGTTGTTTGATTCCTTATATATTCTGGTTGCTAAACTCTTGTCAGATGGGTAGTTTGCAAATATTTTCTCATATTCTGTGGGTTGTCTTTTCACATTGTTGATTGTTTTCTTTGCTATGCAGAAGCTTTTTAACTTGATGTGATCCCATTTGTCCACCTTTTTTCCTTTTGTTACTTGTACTTGTGGTACTTGTGAGTTATCACTCAAGAAATCTTTGCCCAGTCCAATATCCTGGAGTGTTTCCCCAATGTTTTCTTGCAGTAGTTTAATAGTTTGAGATCTTAGATTTAAATCTTTAACCCATTTTGATTTAATATTTTATATGATGAGAGACAGGGTCTACTTTCATTTTTTTTATTTGCATGTGGATTTTCAGTTTTCTAAGCATCAATTATTAAAGAGACTGCCATTTTTCCTATGCATATTATTGGCTCCTTTGTCAAAAATGAGTTCATGTAAAGATTTATCTCTGGGTTCTCTATTTTGTTCCACTGATCTGTGTGTCTGTTTTTATGCCAGTACCATGCTGTTTTGCTTACTATAGTTCCGTAGTATAATTTGAAGTCAGGTTATATGATTCCCCCAGTTTTGTTGTTTTTGCTTAGGATAGCTTTGGGTATTCTTTGTATTTTGTGGTTCCATATTAGGATTTTTTGTCTATTTCTGTGAAGAATGTCATTGGCATTTTGATAGGGATTGTATAAAATCTATAGATTGCTTTGGGTAGAGTATGGATACTTTAATAATATTGAACATGGAGTATCTTTCCAGTTTTGATGTCTTTTTCAATTTTTTTCATCAATGTCTTATACTTTTTTGCAGACATCTTTCACCTGTTTAGTTAATTCCTAGGTATTTTATTTAATTTGTATCTATGTAAATGGGATGACTTTCTTGATTCCTTTTTTGGTTTGTTTGCTGTTGATATATAGAAATGCTACTCACTTTTGTATGTTGATTTTGGAAATTTGTTCATCCATTCTAAGAGCTTTTTTATGGAGTCTTTAGGTATTTCCAAATACAAGATCATTTTGTCTGCAAACAAGGATAATTTTACTTCCTTTCCAATTTGGATGCTCTTTATTTCTTTCTCTTATCTGACAGCTCTAGCTAAGACTTTCAGTACTATATTGAATAACAGTGGTGAAAGCGGGCATCCTTGTGTTGCTGATGTTAGAGGAAAGGCTTTCAATTTTTCCCCTATTCAGTCACTAGCTATGCATGTATCATATATGGCTTTTATTATGCTTTTTATTATGGTTCCTCCTATACCCAGTTTTTTGAGGGTTTTTATCATAAAGAGATGTTGAATTTTGTCAAATGATTTTTCAGAATCAGTTGAAATGACCATATTGTCTTTGTTCTTCAGTCTGTTGATATGATGTATCACACATTGATTAATTTGCAGATGTTGAAACATCCTTGCTTCCCTGTGGTAAATCTCATTTTGTCACGATGAATGACATTTTTTATGTGTTGTTGAATTCAGTTTCCTATTATTTTGTTAAGGATTTTCTTGCATCAATATTTGTCAGTGATATTGGCCTATTGTTTTCTTTTTTTTGATGTATCTGGTTTTGGTATGAGGATAATACTGGCCTTGAAGAATGAGTTTGAAGGTATTCCCTCCTATTCTATTTTTTGGAATAGTTTGAGTAGGATTGGTATTTGTTCTTCTTTAGTTGTTTGGTAGAATTCAGCAGTGAAGGCATTGGTCCCAGTCTTTTCTTTGTTGGGAGACTTTTTATTATAACTTCAATCTTGTTACTTGTTATTGACCTGTTCAGGTTATGGATTTATTCATGGCTCAGTCTTGTAGCTAGTTTGTATGTGTCTAGGAATTTATACATTTCTTCTAGATTTTCCAATTTATTGGCATATAGTTGCTCATATTAATGACCTTCTGAACTTCTGTGGTATCAGTTTTAATGTTTCCTTTTTCATCTCTGATTTTATTTGGGCATTCTTTCTTTGTTTTTTAGTTAGTCTAGCTAAAGGTTTGTCAATTTTGTTTATATTTTGAAAAAAACACCTTTTTGTTCAGTTGATCTTTTGTATTACTTTCATCATTTCAAATCCATTTATTTCTGCTTTGATATATATTTTCTCTTCTAGAAACTGTATGTTTGGCTGAAACATTTTTATACATGCTATTCCTTCTGCCTGAAAATCTTTAATTGGCTTCTTCTCAACTTTCAAGTCTCATTTAAATTTCTTCTAAAAGCCTTTGCTAGCAACCCAACTCACATCATACCCCCCCTTTCTTCCTCTCAAAACGCTTTGTGATTTCTCTTGCTATTGCTTACTCAGATATATTCTTATATGCATGTAAAGGAGTATTTGATTCCTCCTTACTTTTTTTCTCTTCTAGGCAAGGAACAATTCTTTAGTATGACACAATAAAAAGAAAAAAAAATTATGGCATATATGTTTATTCATTCAAACAAAGAACAAATGGACAGTATTAAAAATGGAGCTGGTCAGAGGCAGCAGCTCTTTTGTATGTATTAATCAGGGAAGGACTTTGAGCTGAAATAATATTTAACAGAGATATGAATGAACCAAGAGAGAGAGCCAAAAGAAAGTACATACCAGGGAGGGAAACACAAACAAAGTTCCTGAGACAAAGATATTTTTGGTGCATTTGAGAAATAGTAAGGTCAGACAGCATAAAAAAGAGAAAAGGGGCCGGGCGCGGTGGCTCACGCCTGTAATCCCAGCACTTTGGGAGGCCGAGGCGGGCGGATCACGAGGTCAGGAGATCGAGACCATCCCGGCTAAAACGGTGAAACCCCGTCTCTACTAAAAATACAAAAAAATTAGCCGGGCGTAGTGGCGGGCGCCTGTAGTCCCAGCTACTTGGGAGGCTGAGGCAGGAGAATGGCGTGAACCCGGGAGGCGGAGCTTGCAGTGAGCCGAGATCCCGCCACCGCACTCCAGCCTGGGCGACAGAGCGAGACTCCGTCTCAAAAAAAAAAAAAAAAAAAAAAAGAGAAAAGCTAGAAAGGAGGGTCAAGTTGGGTCCAGATTGCATAGAGCATTATAGGTTATAGCCTGGGCTTTGGTTTTCATTCTAGCATCAAAATTATTTTATTAGGGTCAGTCAATTTTGTTTTTCTCGTGTTTTTTTTAGTCTGAAAAAGTGATCCAGCAATCCTACTACTAGGTATCTACTCAGAGGAAAAGAAGTCATTATACAAGAAAGATATTTGCACATACATATTTATCGCAGCACAATTTTCAATTGCAAAATTGTGGAACCAACCCACATGCCCATCAGTCAAGAAGTGTATAAAGAAATTGTGATTTTATATATATATATATATATATACACACACACACACACACCAATACACATACCATATATATCTATATATATATATTATATATATATATTTATGATGGAATACCACTCAATCGTAAAAATGAATGAATTAATGGCATTTGCAGTGACCTGGATGAGATTGGAGACTATTATTCTAAGTGAAGTAACTCAGGAATGGAAAACGAAACATTGTATGCTCTCACTGATGTCTGGGAGCTAAGCTATGAGGACACAAAAGCATAAGAATGATGCAATGACGCAATGGACTTTGGGGACTTAAGGGGAAGGATGGGAAAGGGGCAAGGGATAAAAGACTACAAATAGGTTGCAGCAAATACTGCTCAGGTGATGGGTGCACCAAAATCTCACAAATCACCACTAAAGAACTTACCCATGTAACCAAATACCACCTGTACCTCAATAAACTATTGGAGGATAATAAAAAAAATTGAAGACCTAATATATTCTTCAATATGGAGAAGCCACTGCTGCTAATTCTAGAGTCAAAGAGGAGGCCCAGAATATGAAAAAATCTAGGCTGCATCTGGGACCCTGAAGAGGGGTGCAGAGAGAGCAAAAGATAAAAGGAATGGTTAAAAGAAGTAGCAAAGGAAGAGGTTAGAGTGTAAAAGAAAATATTTTGAGATGCTATCTGGCCTGGCCTCAGTGTAGTAAGATAGATAATTAGTGGGGACAGTAAGAGAATATTTTTGCAGTACCCTTCTAACTCATTGTGAGTTTACAGTCATCGAATAATATTTATTTCTGTGCATTTGCTAGACAGTACAAGAACATATATTATGAGTTAAATGTGAGGAAAATTTTTGTCAATATGTGATGTGATGTCTGACCTTGTATGAATCATGACAAACCATACCAGGCCAGGAACATAACACCATGCTCCCTAAACTACAGGAAAAATGGTGCACAGAGTGAATAAAGCCAGTAGGGGCCATCCTGGAATTAGAAATACCATCTCAGAAGGAATCCAGCATGGTGGAAACAAATGGCCAATGAAGATTGATATAGAGTTTAGTGGGAAAATTTGGAGCTACAGTCAGTAGTGAAGGAAAAGGCATAGCTCCAGGGTTAGTGAGAAATTCTGAATCTGGTTCTCTAGTGAAGGAAAAACATGAATAGTTAATTGATTGTGAATGAAATGAATACAACCTCAAAAATAAAACTAGATACCAATGTCTGATGACACAAAATTTGCAGAGGGAACAAGTGTTACAAAATGTGATGCAGTTTCAATTTTGTTTAGTGAAATCATTGACCATCAGAAGCCTATTTAGAACGGATTCAGACCCCCAAAAGTAATGCTATTTTTGTGCATCAAGTTCAATTCTGGACAGCTTATGAAACGATTTTAGTTTTTGTAGGAAACATTTCACTTGTTTCTCCCTGGCACGTCCTATTTGGGCCCTGAATGCTAAAAAAGATACTGTGAGAGAAATGACTGCCAACCCCCAGCTCCAACTCTGATCCAGGAGGAGATTTTGAGAGTATACTGTCATGGGAAATAATGAAAAAAAATTTAAAAATCTAGGAATTCTTTTTATCTCAGCCCAAGATATTTGAACTTCATTCAATATGCTGAGATATCTCTGACCAGAATGTAAGAGGCAGCATACAGGTTAAACATAAAGCTGCATGCATAAAATAGAAAAAAATGTTCTTGGTTTTCTTTCCATTTCTGTGTTTCTGAGGGAGCATGATTTTCTCTTTGGCCTCTGTTTTAGGGTATTTGACAAAGATATACAGGAACAAGTTCACCCCATTTGAGATTAAACTGAGGAGCAAATTCCAGTGCATTTATAGACTGGTTTGAACTCTGTAAGCCCGTGTGTGGTTCGTGGTGTTTAAGGTAGCATAGTTCTTTCCCTCCCTAACAGAAAATGAGAATTTTTTTTCTTTGTAAAAGCTAAGGAATTTCAATAAAAGGATAGAGTGGCATGACAGGATTTTCATTTTTCCTTTTTCTTTCTTCTAGCTTTTCCCTGATGAAGAGGGGGCTTGGGATACATGTATAACAAAATAACAAAGACCTTATGGCCAACTCACTCACCAAAATAATGCTATGGTCAGCAGGATCTAGTTTTTTCCAGCAAGGCACCTGGTCTTTCTTGTCCCTGGAAAAAGGAACCAGAAATACATTCCAGAAAGTATGCTCCTTGGAACAAAGTCTAATTTTCAAATTAATGGAAAGTACAAGATGGTTCAGAAAGTAACCAAAGGGAAATAACAAAGGAACATATGATGAGATAGATTAAAGGGGTTCATACTGGCCAAATATGAGAATATTTGATCACTAAAACACTTAATGATATAGTAGATGATCTTAACTCACTGGGTATAACAAACTTCATGAATAAAGAAATTTGAGATAAAAGGACTAATAAATTATAACAGAAGTTGAATGACACCTGATAAATATAGGAAGAATGATGACAATAGGAAATCATCAATGGAAGCTAAAACTGAGGAAAAATGTAATGAGAAACAGGATAGTTTCACAGTCTCAACACATTACCTCAAATATTATGATTAATTACAAAGTGGAAAACTGTATCTTTACATTGAAAAAACCTGACAGACACAATCTTAAGCAAAGTTACCAAAGTTAACCGATATTGAAACATTTCAACATCATGTGCCTCAGATATAATAGATATAATGTACTGAGAAGGATCCACCTTTAACTTAATGGCACGCCTTCCAAAAATGCTTGACTTGAATCTAATTATAGGACAAAGGCCCAATTTAGTAAAAATATTTTCTAAATGTCTGGTTTCTACATTTCAAAAATTGCAAGGCCAAGAAACTTAGGAAAGGCTAAGATACTATTTCAGGTTAAAGAAGGCTAAACAAATATAACAACCAAGTGCAGTTCTAGATTGGTTCTTGGACCAGGAAAAATAAAGTTACTATAAAATACGTAATTGATACACTTGATAAATTTGATTATGATATGTGGGTATACCATGGAAATATATTAATGCTAAAATTTTCTGATTTTATTATACTGTGGACATGTGAGAAAATATCCTGCCATTTTCCATAAAATAGTACATACTGAAACATTTAGTAGCAAAAAGATACAATATCTCCAAACTTTTCTCACATGTTCAGGAAAAAATCGTCTGTCTCTCTCTAAATATAAATGCATATATATGCAAATGGGTCAAAATGTGACAATAGATTATGAATCTAATAAGAGGTACCTGAGGATTTCCTACATTATTCCTGTATCTTTTCTGTTAGGATTATATCAAAATAAAAAGTTAAATTAAGCTATATGTATTCCAAACATCTTGAAAACTATATAGGGCTGTAAATTTTCAATAATTAAGCTTATGTTTTTTTTCCATAAAAGACATCTTCATAAAAGAGAGGGTACCAAAACGTGAAAACTGTTAAAACATAGCTTAATTTTTATTTTCAACAATGAAACCCTAATCAGAAGCTTGCATATTTTTTCATTTTTATATTTATTTGTTTTCACTTTCTGTTTATACTGATGTAATATATGAATGTTAACATAAAGCAACGATTTTAATTTTCATTGCTTCCTCTTTTTCTACCTTTATACTCTGATTTTTTTCAACAACTTACTTTCTTCTCAATGAATGAAAATGAATAGGTTTTAATAAACCACTGAATTTATATCTAGAAGTTTTGGTTTAGATTAGGCTTTGTCTTCAACCTAATATCCATTGACTTGATATCCTAGGACTCGTGCCAACACTTATATGTTAGTAGTCAAATATTTTTTCTATTAATATTCCTGTGTTTTATAGAATAAATGGAAACTTTCTTATTAAAAGCTTAGATTCTTTGGATTGGAATCAAATATGCTCATCAAAACAAAGAAATTTTAATACTTTTAAAATAATTAAATTTATTTTTAGTTATTAAAATAAATTTTAATAATTTTAATAATTTTTGTGTCTTATAAGCTTTAAAAATCAATTTAGCTATATAAGCATAAATGAAAGGCTGATCAAGCTCTTAATCAAATTCATATTTGAAATGCTAATATTTGAATAAGCATGTGTGGACATATTGCAAATAGAAAATGTACTCTTATTTGCAAACAACCTCTATGACATTTTAAAATGAAAGCAGCATTCTATGAAATCTGATGACTATGTATTAAGCAAATAAGTCTCCAGAATCTGTTTCGACTTTGTATACATGTATTTGTGTGATTTGTTCAACCAATGTTGTATACCAACTTTCTATTGCTCATAATAAATCTTGCAGAACATGATTTTTTGAGACACCTCAATATTAAAATGACTGAAAAAATTTAATGCTTTTCATTTATGCTTTTTATTCACCTTGGAACATATCTGGCTGCATATAGTTTTCGGCCTTTATGCTGAGGTAGAAATTTTAAGAGTAATCAGTTAAATTCACAATGAAGCTCCCATTTTTTTTTTTTGCACTTTCATATGCAAGGAGAGAATTTTTGTTCATTTATATTTTCTGGAAAAAATGTGATTTTCATATAATTAAATAAGTTGACATTAATATAAACTGGGTAATATGACATAGTAAATAATTTAAGGTACAATTTAAATCATTTAAATAGTCTTCATCTGGCATCAAGTCATTTTAAACTTGCATTACTGTAGATATGCTTGCTTAGAGACATCATAAGGAATAAAAACTGTGGCCTTAAAGTAAACCATTACGAACTTTAAGTACATTAAGGGAAACAACTTTCTTCAGGTCAAAGTTTGTTAAAGAAAGCACACTATCACATTAGTTACTCTAAGGCTAATTATGATAACTCATACGACCCTTAACTAAAAAGTTGACACAGGTGTCCTTTTTATCACCAAGAGAAAGAAAGATCCTGAATCTTTTCCCAAGGAAAAATTGAGTTTCTCCCCTAAATATAGCTGGATGAACATGTTTCCAAAATTAAAGTGAGAACAATATCAAGCTATCAGTAAAACTTTCGTATAGATTTTGATTGGCTTTATTTAAAATGTTCATATTATTTTTATGAATTACATACAAGCTTTAACTGACTTAATAAAAATACTCCAGCTTTAAAGTAAGAGAACATCATCTGGATCTTTTTAATCTGACTAAAGATACAAAACAAGTGTTTGGTAGTTTAATTCTCAGAAACCTTAAAGACAAAATAAAGTACTGGTTTCTTGCATTATTTGATGTATGTATAACCCAAGTATATTCCAGATCTTATTCCTGGTAACCAGGATCATTCAAAAAGTTATGACATAAATTTCCCAGCTCTTGTTTCTATTTGTTCATGGAGGACAGCCACACAACTACAAAGTCTTCCAAAGATGCCATATAATCCTCGCCTATCTCATTGAATTTATGTGCACAGTTCAGGACACACTACTTTTGCCAACCATATTGGTATCCATAATGTCAATACCAATATGCATTCAAGGACCTCTCATAATTTTTTCTGTTGTGTTACCCATGGCATGAATCTCAAATTGCAATTGTCTCATATTCATGCATGTTTTTTAAATTGTCTGTCTCTCGTTTTATAGTACAAGACTAATGATACATTTTGTTTCTGGTTCATGGTTGTATCCATACATCTTAGTATAATAGTAGGTGTTCAGTGAATGGTGATATAGTAGCAGTAGAAAAATAATAATAATAACAAAACTTCAATAGTTTTTCATTGCCTAAAAGACAATATGCAAATTCCTTAACATCAAATAAGGCTTTTAACAAGTGACTATGACCCACCTTCTTGGCTCCTCTCAAGTCATAGCCCTTCCTTAAATCAAATGGTCATGAAAGCAAACTAAACATTGTTTCCAGAGCACCCCTGCACTTCCATACCTTCAGGTCTTTAACCAGGGAATATTTTCTGGGATTATTCTTCATATCGTCATTTCAGACCAGGTAGTATACAGCATTCAAAGTTCACAGTCTCCTTTTTAAAAAAGAATCCCTCCATGCCCCAAATAGTACTTATCACTCTTCACTCTGTGGTCTCCTGATGTGAATATACAGCTTGTTTGTCCCCTTAAATATTAATTATTGATGCCCTTAATATTTCCCCTTCCCAAATTAATAGAACATAATAAGAATATCTGAGGTCCCTTAATTCTCTGTAACATAGATACCTTTTATAATGGGTTTTAGTATTTGTGGGCATCAGATTTGTAAAGGTGACAATGGCCAGGAATGGTAATCTTCTATTTATCACACACCACATGAGATACTTTGCATATCAAATAATCAGTCATTAGAACATAGTGTTTGAATTGTGGGTAAAGGTCACTTGAGAAATCATCTATGCAGCTGCACTAATATAATTGAATTGATATTCTACTTAGAAAAGCATTGTTCAAGCTCCAGTTACACTTAGGCTTCTCTGGGATCCTAGTGAATAATAATTACATTCTTGCCTTTGCTCACTTTATGTTGGCTCACTTGATATGTCACCTGTTTCACCTTTCATGCAGCCCATTAACTGTCTTGAGAATTCCAATGAACAGTGTTCAGATTCTTCTCTTTAATATTTTCTACAGCCATTCTGTTATTTTAGTTTCCATTAATTTTCACTATTCTATCCAGAAACTTTACAATCTCCTCGGTGATTTTCCTGTCTCTTTTCTACCTTTGCTTCATCCATCAACAACCCTTTGTTTCTTATCTTTGCCTTAACAATGTACACAATGTACACAATGAAATTATTTTCATGACACAGTTGGAATCCTCCTGTTTTATATCTCAATCAATATAGACTGAATGCTCCATAAGGTCTTTCTGGGACACATGCACCTTTGAGAAAAACCTTTTAAATTGAATTATAGTTGCTTAAGACATTTTCTTAAGACAAAATAATGGTGCTTCTTACAAATATATGCTTGGCATTCTAGCTATTTTCTCAAATGTCAAGTAATTTACTCCTTCCCGTTATTTTTTTCTTTGTACTAATTGAAATGTTAATTTTCTTTCTTAATTGCTTAAAATCCAAAGAGACTCTACCCATTAAAACTGCAATACAAATGGAATGGAAAGTACTGTTACTAGTACTCAGGCTTTGCAAATACATACCAATGTATTCCTGTCCACCAATAAGATGTCTTTACATTATTCCCAACATCATATAAAATAATGGACTCTTTCTTTTTGCCTTCTTAGTGCCCTCAGATAGAAGTCATAATTTAGCCTTCCCAAATTTCTGATCTAAAATTATGGAAGTGGAAGATTTAAGTTGTAAATTATCTGATATTCCATATAATCATTCTAGGAAAAAGCCCCTTTGGAACAGAGTTGTTGAACACTTCGCATGTCATATGAAAGAGAGTCATAGCTACTGATGATTTGTTTTTTAAAAATAACTCAATGATGGCCGGGTGCGGTGGCTTACACCTGTAATCACAGGACTTTGGGAGGCTGAGGAAGGGGATCACAAGGTCAGGAGATAGAGATAATCCTGGCCAACATGGTGAAACCCCGTCTCTACTAAAAGTACAAAAATTAGCTGGGTGCGGTGGTGCGTCCCTCTAATCCCAGCTACTCTGGAGGCTAGGCACGAGCAGAGCTTGAACACAGGAGGTAGAGGTTGCAGTGAGCCAAGATCACGCCATTGCATTCCAGCCTGGGCAACAAGAGTGAAACTCCATCTCAAAATAATAATAATAATAATAATAATAATAATGCAATGACAATAATTTATTTTTAAGGATTATTATATGAGCAGAAGAGAGTTTTAACAATCATCTAGGCCCACTGAATACAATCATAGACAAGAAATTGACTGCCTCAAACAGTAACACATTTGAGTTTTGAATTTCTGTGGTTGATGTAGTCCTGATTGGTCTCTTTTTTTTTTTTTTTTTTGAGATGGAGTTTCACTCTTGTTGTGCAATGGAGTGCAATGGCACAATCTTGACTCACTGCAACCTCTGCCTGCCGGGTTCAAATGATTCTCCTGCCTCAGCCTCCCGAGTAGCTGGGACAACAGGCATGCGCCACAAGGCCCGGCTAATTTTGTATTTTTAGTAGATACAAGGTTTTTCCATGTTGGTCAGGCTGGTCTCAAACTCCTGACTTCAGGCAATCCACCTGCCTCAGCCTCCCAAAGTGCTGGATATCAGGCGTAAGCCACCGGACCTGGCCAATTAGCCTCTTTTATATCAAGTCTTATCCTGAAAGTGAAAAAATAATAATACATTCTTTTTTTAATGGTTTCTTGTCATTTGATTATTGTGCTCACTTTCAGAAGTCATCCTATTGACAGTATTTCTTTAATAATTTAGTTTACAGAATTAAGTATAGTATATGCAGTATAACTAATGCAACATAGTCTCTTGGATTTAGGCAATGCTGGCTGACTTAAGAAAAAATAACAAAAGTTGGAGGGATAAAAACTAACTAAAAATTTTGAGGGGCTCAAGAAAACAAGCCAGTAGGAATTAACAGAGTGTTTTTAGGAGTTGTCATTAAAATAAGTTTCAATTGTCTTCTCTCCTTGTTCCTGAGCTCAAGATTCAGTTTCAAAGACTATTGGCCCTGTCTGTGTTTATTTGCCAATCCTCTTAGCTTGGTGCAATAAGTCAGGCATTTTCATGGAAATTATTAAAGACAAAGATCATTTGTAAAAAGACTGATTACCAAAGACTATTACTATGGAAGAGGAAAAGAATGTTACCCAGAATAAGACAACCAATGCCTGATTCAGCAGGCCCAGACCCTCTAGCCTTTCTGCCTGTGAGCAAGTACCTATATCAGTCTGGCCTTGTGAGCACCCCTGGTTGTTTCTAAACCAGAAGATTATGATGACAGAGTGCTGCTTTCACCTCAGATAAGAGTTAAATTTTCTAATCCTTTAATATTTCGGTAAATTTTTTTCCTTACTGGGCTTTCATCAGTGTTTTACCAGTATGAATTTTGAAGAAAGATAAATATACTGACAGACAAATGCATACATACATAGATTGATCACATGGTTGGTGGAGAATGCAAGTACATCACTCTTTGCACTTTTATGTATTTTCTAAATCTTTCTTAATAAAATGCATTTTAACACGTTTAGACACTGTGGCATAGTAAAGGATGCCCTAAATATCTTTTATTTTATTTTTGATTTCAAATTTTATTTTATATTCAGGAGGTACATGTGCAGGCTTGTTACATGATACACTGCATGGTTCAGAGGTTTGGGATATGTTTGATCTTGTTATTGGGTATTGAGCATAGTACCCAACAGGTATTTTTTTCAACCATTTCCCACTCTCTGTCTTCCCCTTCTAGTAGTCCCCAGTTTCTATAGTTCCTGTCTTTGTGTCCACGTGTACCCAATGTTTAACTCCCACTTATAAGTGAGAATATGCAGTGTTTGGTTTTCTGTTCCTATGCTTAGAATAATACCCTCCAGCTGCATCCTTGTTGCTGCAAAGGACATGATTCTATTCTTTTTCATGGCTGTGTGGTCTTCTATGTTGTATATGTATCACATTTTCTTTGTCCAGGCCACCATGGATGGGAACCTAGGTTGATTCCATGTCTTCACTATTGAGTAGTGCTGTGTTCACATACGAGTGCATGTACCTTTTTGGTAGAACAACTTATTGTTCTTGGGTATATACCCAGTAATGGGACTCCTAGGTTGAATGGTAGTTCTATTTTGAGTTCTTTGAGAAACCTCAAAGATGCTTCTCACATCATTAGTAGTTGAACTAACTTACATTCCCACCAGCAGTGTATAGGTGTGTTCCCTTTTCTCCACAGCCTCAGCAGTATGTTTTTTTTTTTTTTTGACTTTTCAATAACAGCCATTCTGACTCATGTGAGATAGTATCTCATTGTGGTTTTGATTTGCATTTCTCTGATGATTACTGATGTGGAGCATTTTAAATATGTTGGTTAGCTGCTTATATGTCTTCAGAAGTATCTGTTTATGTCCTTTGCCCACTTTTTGATGGATAATTTGGTTTTTGCTTGTTCAATGTTTAAGTTCCTTATAGATTCTAGATATTAGACCTTTGTCAGAAACATAGTCTGTGAATAGTTTCTCCCACTCTTTAGGCTGTTTGCTCTGTTGTTAATTTCTTTTGTTGTGCAGAAACTCTTTAGCTTTATTAGGTCTCATTGGTCATTTTGTTGTTGTTGTTGTTGCAATTGCTTTTGAGGACTTAGTCATAAATTATTTGCCAATGTCAATGTCCAGAATGGTATTTCCTAGGTTTTCTTCTAGGATTTTATAGTTTTAGGTGTTATATTTGTGTCTTTAATCTATCTTGAGTTAATAATTTGTATATGGCGAGAGGTAGGAGCCAAGTTTCATTCTTCTGCATGTGGCTAGGCAGTTATCCCAGTACTATTTATTGAATAGGATGTCCTTTCCCCATTGCTTATTTTTGTCAAATTTGTTGAAGATTAGATGATTGTAGCTGTGCAGCTTTATTTCTGGGTTCTCTATTCTGTTCTATTGGTCTGTGTGCCTGTGTCTACTAAACTATTTTTGTTTGTTTGTTTTTTGAGACGGATTCTCGCTCTGTCACCCAGGCTGGAGTGCAGTGGCACGATCTCGGCTCACTGCAAGCTCCGCCTCCCGGGTTCACGCCATTCTCCTGCCTCAGCTTCCTGAGGAGCTGGGACTACAGGTGCCAGCCACCACACCTGGCTAATTTTTTGTATTTTTAGTAGAGATGGGGTTTCACCGTGTTAGCCAGGATGTTCTCGATCGCCTGACCCTATGATCCGCCCGCCTCGGCCTCCCGAAATGCTGGGATTACAGGCGTGAGCCATCGCGCCTGGCCAACTAATTTTATATATGTGTCCATGTGTGTATGGATACGTGTATACATATTATTCCCAGAGGTGTTAATAGGTATAAGGTTTTAAAAAGTTCCATCATCAAAATGTTTATAATATACTGCATATTTTAGCACCTTCCTGGAGCTCCACAATTTATATTAACATATTAAAGGCTTTCCATATTCCTGATGTTAAGCTTTGCAAGTCAGATGGGATTGAATTTAATTCTACCTTACACAGTTTTTAATGTGTGTGACTTTGGCCTATTTATGCCATCTTCTTAAAGTTCAGTTTTCTCAACTCAACTTTAAGGTGATACCAACACCTTCAGTTTAAATGATAAGATCACAATCTTAATCATACAGACCTGAGTTCAGATCTTAGTTCTTACACATAATCTCTTAATTACTACCCTTCCACATTTCAATGTACTTAGTGTATATAACAGAGATAATACTATTAAGGTAATTCTTAGTGTTTTGGAAGAATTAAGTTAGATAATTATGTACAGATATTAACACTGTCCATGGCACATTAGCCTTTATTTTTTTATTATTTAAATATTTCATTGTATTTTAAGTTCTAGGATGCAAGTGCAGGATGTGCACGTTTGTCACACAGGTAAATGTGTGCCATAGTGGTTTGCTGCACCTATCAAACCATCACCTAGGTATTAAGCCCCACATGCATTAGCTATTTATCCTGATGCTCTCTTTGCCCTCGCCCTGCTGACAGGCCCCAGTGTGTGTTGTTCCCCTCCCTGTGTCCATGTGTTCTCATTGTTCAGCTCCCACTTGTAAGTGAGAACATTCAGTGTTTGTTTGGTTTTCTGTTCCTGTGTTAGTTTGCTGAGGATAATGGCTTAAAGCCCCATCCATGTCCATGCAAAGGACATGATCTTATTCCTTTTTATGACTGCATAGTATTCCATGGTGTATATGAATCACATTTTCTTGATCCAGTCTATCACTGATGGACATTTGGGTTGATTCCATGTTTTTGCTAATGTGAATAGTGCTGGAATTAACATATGTGTTCATGTGTCTTTATAACAGAATCATTTATATTCCTTTGGGTATATTCCCAGTAACGGGATTGCTGGGTCAAATGGTATTTCTGGTTCTAGGTCTTTGAGGAATTGCCACACTGTCTTCCCCAATGGTTGACCTAATTTACATTCCCACCAACAGTGTAAAAGCGTTCTTATTTCTCCACAGCCTTTCCAGCATATGTTGTTTCCTGCAGCCATCACTGGAGCTCCAGTCTGCCATTTTTCCCCTGTGGGTGCCGGGGAGACTGGACAGTTTGGAGGAATTCCCCACAGCGCAGCGCAGCACAGCACAGTGACACACTATTGCTAGACTGCCTCTTTAGTGTTTATTGTCTGGTAACTATTATCATTGTCATTACTATTGAGATGTTTGAGATGTGCTAAATTGATACTAAATGAGTATATAAGCTCTTACGGTGAGTGACATAGTGAATGTTTAGTAGCGTCTACTGCCAGTGTGGTGGTGGTAGAAGAGGATTAAAAATAACAATGGAGGTGTTTCATTTATTTAAATACTTTCAGATCAAACTTTTCCAATCTTCCTATAATGCACAGAATTTGAGGACATTATCACCTATTCCTAGATGCGCTGGAACAGCCCACAAGCTTTTAATTTTTTAGGAGAACCTTGGTAGAAATTATTTGGGTCCACCTCTGAGTGAATATCTGTGGCCTTCTGGTCAGGCACCTGTCCTTTTTAGGCCCCTCACATTTCATAGTGGTTGTTAATCTCACCTTCTGTTTCATTGATTGTTGTAGCATATGGCTTAGCACAAACTGGCAGCACAAAATAGCTGCATTCCAAATATTTGTTAGGAAGTGTGACCTTGACAGTGATGACTGATAAAAGTTGGATTAAAAGAACATTTTGATCAGATCTTTTTTAGTGACATGTTTAAATCTCTCCCTGGATAAATCAAAGAATCAGAGTTTTTAAAATTTTATGATGAGATTTTATTTACTCCTTTTCCCTACATCCATATAGGTTTTTTAAAATTAATTGAGCTATGAGTTTTTGAAATTTATTTATATATTTACTTTTAAATTGTTGTTGAAGATAGATAGCATTCAGTACATTGTGAATTTTTTAACAAAAATTTTCTCTGTGGTTTCTGTACCTGGAATATTTGAAATACTTTGAGCCACAGTTTGTCTACAACTCATGAACACCGTAAATCTGGTATTTGGGCCATGCTGCATTTTTAATTCTGATTGCTAAAAATATTCAAATCATTTTTTTACCATCTTCCCCTTTCATAAATGTATAGACACTTATTATATGCATTTTGTATGATATGTTAACATTACTTCTGGCATTATGTTAACCTGAATAAATTAGTCTTTTACATTTTTATTTTTCTTGTATTTTTAATTTTACAATATTTTGGTGACCTATAAAGACAATATATTCAAGGATATCATGTGAAGATATATATATATATATATATATATATATACACACACACACACACACACACACATTGTGTAATGATTACCACAATCAAATTAATTAACACATCTATCACCACCCATGCTGTTCATTAGATCCTCAGGATTCATTCATCTTATAACTGAAAGTTATACCCTTTAACCAACATTACCCTGTTTCCCTCAATCCATAGACACTGACAACCCCACTCTACTCTCTGCTTCTCTGAGTTTGACTTCTTCAGATACACATAAAAGTGAGATCATACCAATTTACTATTTAATACTTATTAAGTATGATGTATGTACAGAAACATAACTCATAAATGTATAACTTAATTAATTAGCACACTGGGAACATGCCTGTGGAATGGCACTCAGAATGAGAACTGGGACAGTACCAGCAGTGCAGATGCTCCCAGAATCTCCCTTAATCCATACCACTCTCTTCTTAAAGTCAATCAATCAATCAATATCTTGATTTTTAACATCATAATTAACAGAGAGCATATGAATGGAACTTTATGGTCTATAACTCCATATTATGTTTATATTATTCTTCCGTGCTATTGTATGTAGCAGTGGATTTACTTTTATTACTATAAAAATATATTTTTAAAAAACTCTTCACATCTGCAGATATCAGATCTTTGACAAAGTTGAGAAAAATAAGCAATGGAGAAAGGACACACTTTGCAATAAATGGTGTTGGGATAGATGGCTAGTCACATGCAGAAAAATGAAACTGGGCCCTAACTTTTACTATATACAAAAATTCACTCAAGATGTATTAAAGATTTAAATCTAAGACCTAAAATTACAAGAATCCCAGAAGAAAACCTAGGAAACACCATCCTGGACATTGTCTTTGGGAAAGAATTTATGACTAAGTCCTCAAAAGCAATGAGAACAAATATAAAAATTGACAAGTGAGACCTAATAAAACCAAGGAAATTCTGTACAGCAGAAGAAACTATCAATACAGTAAAAAAACAACCTACAGAATAGGAGAAATATTGTATTAGGCCATTCTAACATTGCTATAAACAAATACTTGACACAATAATTTACAAAGAAAAGAGGTTTAATTGGTCATGGTTCTTCAAGCTTTACAGGGAGCATAATGCTGACATAGCCGTAGCTTCCGAGATGGCTTCAGAAAGCTTGCAATCATAGCAGAAGGCAAAAGGGGAACAAGTGTATCACGTGGTGAAAGCGGGAGCAAGAGAGGCAGAGTGGGAGGTGACGCACACATTTAAACAACCATATCTTGTGAGAATTCACTCAGTATTGTGGGGGCAACACCAAGTGGATGGTGCCTAACCATTCATGAGAAACTCAACCCCATGATCCAGTCACCTCCAACCTGGCCCCAGCCCCAATGCTGGGGAATAGAATTCAACATGAGATTTGAGTGAGTACACATATCTAAACTGCATCAAATATTCACAAACTATGCTTTCTACAAAAGTCTAATATCCAGAGTCTATAAGGAACTTAAATGTTGAATAAGCAAAATACAAATATCCCATTAAAAAATGAGCAAAAGACATGAAGAGACACTTCTTAAGAGAAGACATACAAGCAGGCAACAAACATATGAAAAAGGGCTCTTCATCACTAATCATCAGAGAAATGAAATCAAAACCACAATGAGATACCATCTCACATGTGTCAGATGGCTATTACTAAAAAGTTGAAAAACAACAGATGCCGGTGAGGTGGAGAAAAGGGAATTCTTATACACTGCTGGTGGGAATGTAAATTAGTTCAGGCACTGTGGAAAGCAGTTTGAAGATTTCTCAAAGAACGTAAAACAGAACTACCTTTTGACTTAGCAACCTTATTACGGGGTATATACCCAAAATAAAATAAGTCATTCTACCAAAAATACAAATGCACTTGTATGTTCATTGCAGCACTATTCACAATAGCAAAGACATGGAGCCAACATAGGTGCCCATCAATGGTGGATTGGATGAAGAAAACATGGTACATATACAACATGGAAGGCTGCGCAGCCATAAAAAAGAAAAAAATCATATCATTTGGAGCAACATGGATGCAGCTGGAGGCTATTATCCAAACAAAATAACACAGGAACAGAAAACTAGATACCGCATGTTCTCACTTATAAGTGACGTGGAGACACGTGTTTGTAGAGACAGCAACAATAGAAGCTGGTGACTACTAGAGAGAGGAAGCAGGGAAAAGAAGAAGGGTTGAAAAACTATTGAGTACTATGCTCAGTACCTGGATGATGGAATCAATCATACTCCAAACCTCAGCCTCATGCAGTATACCCAGGTAACAAACCTGCACATATACCCCATGAATCTAAAATAAAAATTGAAACTATAAAATAAAATGAAATATTAATCAGTGTACAGTTATTTAATACTTTCCATCTGGACAATAAAAGGACATTAAATCATGAATCTATTTACAGTCTGCAAATTTTTTAAAATGGAAAATATATTTGTATAAAAATATTGGGATATTTAGACAGGCCTCGAGTGGACAAGCTAATGAAATTTTATAACCTGAAGACACCTCTGTATGCATTTTTAGATTGAAAAACACAACATTGTCAGTCTCTCCACATCAGACACTTTTGCCTTTTCCAAGCACTACTATGGTATAGATCATCTGTACTTTTCAGCTCTTTTGTAGTTTATATATATAGAATCATATAGTATGAATATTGTGTATGTAGATTTAAAATTCCATATGTTTGGAAATTTGTCTGTATCTTTGCATGCTGTTGTGGTTAATTCATTAGAATTGGTGATAGAATTCTATCATCTGAACATCAAACAATTAATTTAGTTATTTCACTGCAAATGCACATATTAGTGGTATTTATTTGGGGGCTTTTAGAAGTACTGATTGTATGTAAATTTTATTTTACTGACATATAGGAAAATTTATTTTGAGTGAATACGTAGTAATCAAATTGTTGGATCACAGGTTTACATTTTGAATAATTTTTTACACTGCAAAAATAAATAAATAATGAATAGATAAGAAAATAAAAAAATAAAAACTCAAACCCGTATTCATTCTTCCATTAAAAGAACATGAGCTCATACATCTTTCTGTTGAACTAGCCCTTATATCATCATATGTTACACCATATCTCTAATAATATGTTTTACTTTAAAGTTTGCTCTTTTGGACAGCTTTTTAAAATTAATCTTTGCATAATATATATTTTCTATACTTTTATTTCAGCCTATCTGTAATCTTCTTATAATCAACATATTTATGCCAACTTTTCCTGAACATTTCATATTTTAATTAGTGCTTTAGTCCATTCAATAATTGTATTTATCTCTAATATCTTACTATTTGTTTACTGTTTTCCCAACTATCCTTCCTTTACTCCTCCCTTTATTGCTATTTTTGTATTATTTTATGTAGTATTTTATTTTTCTTCTCTACACAACTTTTTATAGCCATTGATTCATCAAGTCTGACATATTAGTACTTGGTTCACATCATGAACAATGCAAAGATATTGAAACTCAATTACATTTGATACTTTTCCATATTTTGTGCTGTAATTTTTATAGATCTTAACTATCTGTTTTAAGCTAGATAGATACAATAGTATGTTATTTTCACTTAGCCATTTATTTACTTTTAAAATTCAATTATCTTTATCCTTTTCTGAATACTCATGTTTTCACTTGGAAATATTGTTTCTATGACCGCAGTTTAGTGTTCTCTTTAATGTGTGTTCATGGGTGATAGATTTTCTCAATTTTTTGTTTGCCTAAAACAGTCTCTATTTTGCCTTAATTTATAAAGGATAATTTTTGCTGTATGTAGAAGTCCATATTGAAAGTTATTTTCTTTCTGCAGTTAAAGCTATAATTCTATTTTGGTTTCCACTGTTTCTTTTGAGAAATTACCTGTCAGTATTAATACTCTTCTTTTGAAGGTTTATGTTCTTATCCTTCAGACTCCTTTTAAAATTGTCTCTTTGTCTTTGGTTTTCAGTAGCCTGATTATGAGGTGTCTAGGTATATTTTAATGCCTATGTGTATTTGTAGGTGGATTTAGACTTGGTGTTCATATTCTTTCTGAATGTCTCTTGTCAGCTTTGGAAAATTCTCAGCCATTATACATTTAAAAAGTGCTCTGTCCCTTTCTATACCTCCTCTATTTCTGACTGTCAAGCTACATGTATTTAATTCTTTACACCTGTCTCTGTGTGTCTTATTCTTTTTTCCTATTGTCCATCATTTAATTTCAGTAATTTTGAGTTTAGTTCTAAACTTCCATTTATTTAAAATTTCTATTTATTTATTTAATTCTCCATCCTATCATTTAATTTCGTAAACATAGTAATTGTTGTTAGTTTAAATTCCATGTCTGATAACTACAAGATCTGTATCTGTTTTTGACCTTTCTCCATGTTACTCTTTTCTCTTGATTTTCATCCAAGTTTTATCATTTTTCATGTCTAGTTATTTTGATTTACTTGTGGATGTTATGTATAAAAAATTGTAGAGACAACTTGGGACCTTGTTTAATGCCATCTTCTCTATAATATTTACTTTGGTTCCCAATCTTTTTCCAGTTATAGATTGAGATGATGCAAAGCTCGACTTTAGTCTTTGTGAGGGCTGGTCTATTTCCATTTTATCTCATACTCAGGTGTGGCCCTTTGAAGGTTTCAAATGCAAACCTTGGATGTTTCCCAGAGCTCCTTCTCCTTGGTAGACTCTATGTACACTTTTCCTTTCATGCAGACCTATGCAAGTTCAAAAAGTAATAATTATGCTTTTGGACTCTTAACTTATTTGCTGCCACTATTGAATCTTTGAATCCTTTAATGGAAAAAGCAATGTCTAATGTTGGGCTCAACTCCCTGGGCTCTGCTGTGCTGTGTAAGGTCTTGACCCTTACCTCTCTAATGCCTCTTCAAACAGGCAAGGGGGTGTGTGTGTGTGTATGTGTTACATTTTGTCTACATTTTTCTTTTTTTTTTTTTTTTGAGGTGGAGTTTTGCTCTTGTTGCCCAGGTTGGAGTGCAATGGCATGATCTCAACTAACTGCAACCTCCGCTATCTGGGTTCAAGCAATTCTCCTGCTTCAGCCTCCTGAGTAACTGGGATTACAGGCATGCACCATCATGCCTGGCTAATTTTTGTATTTTCAGGTGAAACGGGGTTTCACCATGTTCGTTAGGCTGGTCTTGAACTCCTGACCTCAGGTGATCCACCTGCCTCGGCCTCCCAAAGTGCTGCGATTACAGGTGTGAGCCACCCCGCCCAGCCTTGTCTACATTTTTCTAAGTTGGTCTCAGTAGGAAGATAAGTCAGAAACTTACAAATCCATTATTCCTAGCAGATGCAGATATCAACTCATTTTCACACACCTAAAATTTATTAGTTTTTGTAAGCTTCCTAAAATCTTTTTGCAATATTACTAGCTTTTTGCCTATCTTGGTTATGTGCACACTTTAACAAATCTAATTATAAAATCTCTTTCTTGAATGAGAATGGAGAAGCAAAATAATGGTCCTACATTTGTATTCTCTCTGCACTAAGCAATGGCTTGTCTCTTTCTTGGTTTTCTTCTGTCTCTGTTCCTAAAATAAACATCTGCTGGATAAAAACTCCAGGCTTTCATTATGTTTTGCCTCTGTGAGTTTTCCCTTAGATTATCTGCCCATTTGCTACTTTCCTTTTTCTTCCTGTGAGTAATAGCATCTATCACTTCTCTTCTAATTTCTTACTGTCTCCTGTTTTGGATTATTACTTCTCCAGTTTACTTTATTACTGAGAAGCATTTTCTTATGCTCTATTTCTCTAAAACAATTGTGCAATTACTTTGATAAATTTTAGTTTAAAAAAATAATAACCACAAAAATAGAGGTCACTAAAAATATACCTAAGAAGTATTATAAGGATTTTGTAAAGTAATCAAGTTGTCCCTGAACTTTATTAAAATATAAGTCTAATTTGACCTTGGAATAAGCCTTCTTAGACTGTTTTTTTTCCCTCCTCAGTTTCTGTAGATATTTATAAGTTATTCTTATAAAATAGTTTCTCATTTTATTCTGGAATTAGAACACCTGAATCTTTTCATGATTTTTAATGGAAGTATGTCTTGTATATAGGCTGTCATTTTTGAGGTCCTTTCTTGCACAATGAAATCAAGAACTTTCAATTACATCTTAAATTAAGCTGAGGTTTTAATCTCAATTTCAGTCCTGACAATGAAATAAATGACAACTTGAATTTTTGTCTCGCTGTGTCGCCCAGGCTGGAGTGCTGTGGCGCGATCTCTGCTCACTGCAAGCTCTGCCTTCCAGGTTCATGCTATTCTCCTGCCTCAGCCTCCCGAGTAGCTGGGACTACAGGAGCCCGTCACCACGCCCAGCTAATTTGTTTTTTTTTTTTTTTTTTTTTTTTTTTTTTTGTATTTTTAGTAGAAACGGGGTTTCACCGTGTTAGCCAGGATGGTCTCGATCTCCTAACCTCATGATCAGCCCACCTGCTGGGATTACAGGTGTGAGCCACCACGCCTGGCCACAACTTGAGTTCTTTATATGGAAATCTGTTCTTAGCATTTGTAATAAACTTCAGTTACTTTGTTACTACAATCCTGTCCAAATTTGTACAGTTTTATATAACCAATCATTTCTATTCTAGTTAGCTGTTCCTAAGTGACATCTTCTGAATTTGACCTCTTATGGTAAACTTGAAAATTGCTGAAAGTAGATTTTAAATGTTCTCATCACAAAATAGTGGCAATTATGTGAGGTGATGGATAGGTTAATTAGTTTTATTTAATCATTTCACAATGGACACATATATTAAAACCATATTCCACACTATTAATATATAGAATTCTGCATTTGTCAACTAAAAATTAATAATACTTTTTTAGAAAGCTGAGCTTGCCAGGACATTCCATGCAGAAGTCTGATAATCTATATTATATTGATGTCCACTTCTCTTCTCCTTCCTTGACAGGATTTGTGAATATTCAATATATATTTATTCAAATAATGCTTACCAAATAACTGCTAAGTACCAAGCACTGTTCTTTGTCTTAATAAAGTCTATATTTTGGTAATTATATAATCATAATATAGATTTTGAGTCTTGCAAAAACAAACATTGATTGAGTCTGACACATACAGTGTGAGTGTGATCGAGAAGTCAAAGGAGAATAAAATCACGTCCCTAAAATTAAGAAACTCATAATATAAAAGAGACAGAAATGTGTATATAGTTTTTTGAAACTCTTAAATATGCACTGAAAAATGTGTGCAGAAACTATTCTGAACAAGGAAGGTGCAGTGACTAACTGGATCTTAGAAGAAGACAAAAAAGACTGTATGAAAACAAAAATATTAGAAATCTTGAAGGAAAAATAGAATTTGGCAATTAGATAAGTTGGTGTGGGAAGACATTCCAAATAGAGGGAATTTCCAGAGGCACAGAGATGACACAGAGCAAGACCTGTTTAGGAGATTACAAGTGCAAAATGCCTGGAAGAGAGATTTATGAATTTTCTACATGTGCATGTATGTTATGTATGTAGTGGGTTGATGGTGGCATGTATGTATATTTCTAGGGATTAAGTGGGACATTGGGGTAGTTGACAGACTGGTGAAATATTTGGCAAGACCAGTCCAATAAGTGCCTGAAGTGTCTGGCTAGGAGCTTCAGACTATTTTGTAAATGGGAAACCTGAAAAATTTTAAAGCCCAACATCAAAAATGCATTTTTCAGAAACATAAATTTTCTATGATGAGATAAGTTTGAAAATTACCCTTAAAATCTTCCAGTGTTCCTTCCTAACATTTACTGTGCAAGCCAGACAGTGATGAATGTTACCTTTCACAGCTATTTCAGACAGTTTAGTGATATGATTAGTATCTCCAAATGTTTCCATCACTTTCACTTTACCTACCAGAATTTCCTTTTTTTGTGAGAATTGTTCACAAAAGCAGTTCTGTTAACTTTTGCTTGCTCTTCTGTGATAACATTGTCAGTAAAGAAACACCAGCATTTATCAGATTTTCTACTTTGAGTAGAATGAAAATAGTAGCCCTTATCTAGATTAAAGTTCATATATATATATATATATATATATATATATATATATATATATATACACACACACACACAGTATGAGGACACTGGTGTAAGGTGTTTTTCAAGCAATTTTTTACTAATGAGAGTTTATGTATGAGTTTGAAAGTTACATGTGATAGAAAAGTTACAGTGACTAAAGGTTTTCCTTCTAATTATATCAATTTTACTCATGTTTACGTAGGGTAAATCTAGCAATCTAAAAATTGTACATACCTGCAGACAGTTTTATCCAGGTCAGACTCCAGAGTGATATGCCACTACCAGCTGAACAGAAACTATTAAATTGCTTAACTTACCAAGAGTATTTTGTGGAGTTTATTAAAGCCTGAAAGGGTTTTCTCATTCCTTCACTACTCATACATTTATTTATTAGTTCTCGGTTTGTTGCAATGGATGGATAGCTTTCTCCTCTTTGCATTTATTTAAGGATTCTTTAAATTGTTTAGTGTGCTATAATCTGTTACTATGTTTTGATACTCGAAGTACTGATAAATTGGCCAGTAGAGGCACTTCAAGCTAACTCTTCTGTTCTTTTAA
This sequence comes from Homo sapiens, assembly GCF_000001405.40. NCBI lineage: Eukaryota > Metazoa > Chordata > Mammalia > Primates > Hominidae > Homo > Homo sapiens. Next base: position 187,762,669 of record NC_000002.12, on the reverse strand, counting down.
TAGGCCTACATCATTGTTTGAGTATTTCCTTGTTTCTGGCAGACCAAGATGTTCCAAGGGGTTTTGGTACTCCCCCTGAACCAGCCTTGAATCAGAATTCTGCTTACTTTCAGTTGGTTTAGAAATTAAATCTGGGTTCTGAGAGCTAAATATGCTCACTGCTCTTAGGGTGTCAGTGATTCTCCACCCTCTAAGAGGACTAAGCCGGCCAGGCGTGATGTCATCCCAGCACTTTGGGAGGCCGAGGTGGCCTGATCACCTGAGGTCAGGAGTTCGAGACCAGCCTGACCAACATGGCGAAACCCCGTCTCTATTAAAAATACAAAAATTAGCTGGACATGGTGGTATGTGCCTGTAATCCCAGCTACTTGGAAGGCTGAGGCAGGAGAATAGCTTGAGCCTGGGAAGCGGAGGTTGCAGTGAGCAGGGATCACACCATTGCACTCCATCCTGGGCTACAGAACGAGACTCCTCAAAGCAAAAAAAAAAAAAAAAAAAAAAAGGACTAAGCCAAGAAATACATGTATACTTATGTATGCGTGTGATTGTTTGTATGTGTGTGCGTTCATAAATGCATGCACATCCACACACAAGGTACCTTTGATCCCCCTCCATTTTTGTATTTATAACTCCCTTCTCTGAAGTGAGAAACATAGCTTCTATTGCATATATTTACTTGTTTGCTCAATCTTAGAATACTCATACTTTCTGAAGAGTCTATGCATACCATGACTCAATACCAGGCTCTCAATGCCATATATTTTCACCATTTCACTATTTCAACACCTTTCCACTAATTTTTCTAGCTTTCAGTCTCTTCCAATTCACTCTTCAATTTTTTTGGCATCATTCTGAACACACTAGTCTTTTTGGCATCATTCTGAACACACTAGTCTTAAAAAATTTCATATGTTGCTACTATCAATAGCAAATTACTTAGTCAGATATTACTAATGTGACATTTTCACCTGGCTTTATTTTACATTTAAAAATAATCAATTCCTATTTCTTATGTAGACTCTATGTTGACCTACAACATTTTGTTTTTTCCTTGACTGGACACCTATCTCTCTTTTGGAACTTATAGTAGCTTCTCTAGAAATATTTCTTAACAATCCCATTTATTATGATCCCTCCCCCTGCCAAATCATATAGCTGACTCCACATTTTAAAGTTTTAGCCACTTTTCTCACATGACTTTGTATTATTGACATTTGTGTCTAGGGGTCTATCACAGTACATTTCTATGATAATAGGTGATTAGTAAAAAGGGTTGTACAAAGGATTTAAACTTTTATACTCCCAATTATCTTCTCATGTCAAGTATCTTGCTTTTAACTGGAATATCCAGTAATTCCTAAAGTAATTAAATAGACTATCTTAATTTTGAAAAAGATTATATTGCCAAGTGAGGCTTAATTTAAATATTTACAACATTAATTAATTCATTCTACATATACTAGCTTTAAAATTATCAACTAGAGGTCAATTTCTTTTAAAATAATATAATGGAATATTTCAATATAAATGAAATTATTTTATAATAAAAAATGAAAGAGAATGTTTACATTTTATTAAAATATGAAATGTTTTCATAAATCTTTTATGTCCACCCTTTGTTTTGTTTTACAGCACTAACTCTATTTGATTGCTGTTTTTTTAAAAAAAAATGATTCATTCATTTCTGGCAGCCTTTAATTTGCCTCTGCTATTCTTCACATTTTTCTCATTTTTTCTTCTGCCTTTTTATCACCTAGTGTAAAATCAATGCAATCACTTGAAAAGCAAAATCAAGGACAGCAGCTTATTAAAAGGAGGAACAGAGCAATGCCATTTGATGCTAAACTACCTACTTTCAACTCCAAAGCTCAGAAGTTGACAGATAAACATTTTAATTCCTTAATCCTATTTATTGTCTTCAGAGTTCATTGGTTCTGAAGTAACTAAAATAAACTTTATTTTAGCTGCAGGAAGTTTTAAAAGAAATATAGTTATGAATACTATTATTGTAGTCTCAAAAATGTGGTTATTATCTTTTTTAGTATTAAAGAAACTATGGAATTAGAATGTTGAATTTAACCTTTTGGTTTCACACAACTACCTTAACTATCTGCTTATCTTCATTTCTTACCCTAACTTATCTAGAATTATACTACATTACATAGCACTAGTAACTTTAACCACAGACAAACTAATTTACCTACATTTTACCTTCAATATAGCCATACGGTTTTGTTGACCTTCATGAAGAGAGAAATCTGAGCCATATTCCTCATCATTAGTTTGTTATAATAAGCATTTTTATCTCCAGACTCTTACCAATGTGTCAGTCACACCTAAAAACTGGACCTATAAGAAAGGAAAATAATTTCTAAAATATCCAGCATTATAGGTATTAAATTGCTTTAAAGTAATATATTAGAAGGGGTGGAGCAAGATGGAAGAATAGAGGAGTCCACCATTGTCCCCCTACAAATACACTAATATTACAACTATCCACACACAAAAAGCATCTTCATAAGAACCAAAAATCAGGTGAGCACTCACAGTAGCTGGTTTTAACTCTACATTACTGAAAGAGGCATTGAAGAGGGTAGGAAAGATAGTCTTAAATTGCCAATGCGCTGCCTCCCCAATCTTGTAGTGGTGACCATAGTGGCCATGTGGCATGGAGAGAGAGTCTGTGTGATTGGGGGAAAGAGAGTGCAGCAATTGTGAGACGTTGCATTGAACTCAGTGCTGCCCTGTCACAGCAGAAAGCAAAACTTAGCTGAACTCACCTGATGCCTGCCCACAAAGGGAGCATGTAAACCAGCCCTAGCCAGAGGAATATTACCCATCCCAGCAATCAAAACTTGAATTCTGACAAGCCTAGCCACTGTGGGCTACAGTGCTTTGAGGCCTTACATATTCCTTAAAGGCAGTCTTGTCCACAAGGGCTGCAACTCCTAGGCAAGTCTTAGTGCTGAATTGGGCTCAAAGTGAGTGGACTTGGGGGGCACATGACCTAGTGAGATGCCAGCCAGGGTGGCTAAGACAGTGCTTGTGCTACCCCTGCCCTAACCCCATACAGCATGGCTCATAGCTCCAAAAGAGAGCCCGTCTTTCTGCTTGAGGAAGGGAGAGGGAACAGCAAAGAAGACTTTGTCTTGCATCTTGGTTACCAGCTCAGCCACAGCAGGATAGTGCACCCATCAGAGCTGTGAGGCCCTGGTTCCTGAATGACATTTCTAGACATAACCTGTGCTAGAAGGGAATCCACTGTCTTGAAGGAAACGACTTAGTCCTTCTAGGAACCATCACCCACTGACTGAAAAGCCCTTGGGCCCTGAATAACCAGCAGTGATACCCAGGTAATACGCCATGGGCCTTGGACAAGACTGTGACACTTGCTGGCTTCAGGTGAGACTCAGCATATTCCCAGCTATGATGACTACAGGGAGAGGCTTCTTCCACTTGAGTAAATCAGAAGGAAAATAAGGGGAACTTTGTCTTGCACAGGTGGGTAGAGCACCAAGCATGCTCTTGGGGTCCCCAATTTCAGGCCTTGGCTCGTGAACAGCATTTCCGGATCTGCCCTAGGCCAAAGGGGAGCCAACTGCTCTAAAGAATGAATCCCAGGCCTACCAGCATTCACCACAAGCTGACTGAAAGACCTTGGGCCTTGAAGGGAACACTGGTGGTAGCCTTGCAGTTCCCCCAATGGGCTTATAGTAGTAGTGGCCATGGGGTGAGGCTTCTCTACCTGTGGAAATGGAATGGAAGAGTGGAAAGGACAGCAGCTCATAGTTTGAGTCACAGCTCAGCCACAGTACAATAGAACATCACGAGACTTCTAAGGTTTTTTACACTCGTCCCTGGCTCCTGGACAGCACCTCTGGACCTGTCAGGGACCAGGGGGAATTTGCCACCCTGAAGGGAAGGATACAAGACTGGCTGGCTTTACCAGTTGCTGACTAGTGCCACAGGGCCTTGAGTGAACATAGGTGGTATCCAGGTAGTAACTACCGCAGGCCTTGGGTGAGAACCAGTGCTGTTCTAGCTTCTGGTGGGACCCAGTGCAGTCCCAGTGGTAGTGGCCACAGTGGTGATTGTGTCACCCAACCCCCAGCTCCACAAGGCTCAGACAGAGAAAGAGAGGCTCCATTTGATTGGAGAAAATAAAGTAACAGAACAAGAGTTTATGCCTGGTGATTCAGATAATTCTTCCAGACCTTATCCAAGACCATCAAGGTAATACCTCTATGAGTTTGCAGGAACCACAGTGTTACTGGGCATGGAGTGTCCCGAATGTAGATACAGCTTAGCTCATAACACCGAAGTCCTTTCAAATACCTTGAAAGCCTTCCCAAAAAAGTCAGGTACAAACAAGCCCAGACTTCAAAGACAACAATAAATACCCAACTCTTCAATGCTGAGACACAGGTGAACATCTAAAAATATCAAGACTATCGAGAAAAGATAAACTCACCAAATGAACTAAATAAGGCACCAGGATTAATCCTGGAATAACAGATATGATTTTTCAGACAGAGAATTTAAAATAACTGTTTTGAGGAAATGCATACAAATTCAAGGTAACACAGAAGATAAATTCAGAATTATAGTCAATAAATTTAACAAGGAGATTGAAATAATTAAAAAGAATCAAACACAAATTCTTGAGTTGAAAAATAAAATGGTCATATTAAAGAATATATCAGAGTCTTAGTAGCAGAATTGATCAAGCAGAAAAAGAAAGGATTCATGAGCTTGAAGACAGGCTCTTTGAAAGTACTGAGTCAGAGGAGACGAAAGAAGAATAAAAAACAAAGAAATATATTTACAGGATCTAGAAATTAGCCTCAAAAGGGCAAATTAAAGAGGTATTGGCCTTATAAAGGAGGTAGAGAAAGAGAAAGGGGCATAAAGTTTATTTAAATAAATAATAACAGGAATTTTCCCAAACTTAGAGCAAGGTATCAATATCCAAATACAAGAAGGTTGTAGAACATCAAGGACATTTAACCCAAAGCAGACTAGTTCAAGGCATTTAATAATCAAACCCTCAAAGGTCAAGGATAAAGAAAGAATCCTAAAAATAGCAAAAGAAAAGAAACAAATAACATATAATAAAGCTCCAATGCATCTAGAAAACTTACATGCCAAGAAAGAGTGTCATGATATATTTAAAGTGATGAAGCAAAAAAAGTTTTACCCTAGAGTTGTATATCTAGTGAAAATATCCTTCAAACATGAGGGAGAAATAAAGACTTTCCCAGATGAACAAATGCTAAAGAATTTCATCAATGCCTGTTCTGTCCTACAAAAATTGCTAAAGGGAACACTTTAATAAGAAAGAAAAGGACATTAATGCACAATAAGAAATCACCTGAAGGTATAAAACTCACTGATAATAGTAAATACACAGAAAAACACAGGATATGATAACACGGTAACTGTGGTGTGCAAACTACTAATATCTGAAGAAGAAAGACTAAAAGATGAACTGATCAAAATAACTATAACAACTCATGACATAGAAACTAAAATAAAGTATAAATAGAAACAAAAATTTAAAAAGCACCAATACAAAGCTAAGGTGGAGAGACTTTTTAGGTTTCTTTTCTGCTTGTCGGTTTGTTTATGCAAACAGTATTATGTTGTTATAAGCTGAAAATAATGGGTTTTAAGATAGTATTTGCAAGCCTCATGGTAACCTCAAATGAAAAAATATACAACAGATATACAAAAAATAAAAGCAAGAAATTAAATAATACCACCAGAGAAACCACCTTCACTAAAAGGAAGATAAGAAGGATGAGAAGGCCACAAAACAATCAAAAAACAAATAATCAAATAGCAGGAGTTAGTCCTTACTTATCAATAATAACATTGAAAGCAAATGGACTACACTTTTCAATAAAAAACAGAGTGGCTGAATGAATTTTTAAAATAAGACCGAAAGATCTGTTGCCTACAAGAAACACACCACCTATATAAACACATAGACTAAAAATAAAGAAATGGAAGAAAGATATTCCATGCCAATGGAAAGCAAAGCAGAGCAGAAGTAGCTATTTTTGTAGAAGACAAAATAGATTTCAAGACGAAAACTGTAAAAACAGACAAAGAAGGTCACTATATAATAATAAAGGGTCAATTCAACAAAGGGACATAACAATTGTAAATATATATGAACCCAGCCAGCACTGGAGCACATGCACACAGACACACAGACACACACACACACATATATATATATATAAAACATATATATATAACAAATATGACTAGAGCTAAAGAGAGAGATAGGCCCCAATACAGTAATAGTTGGCAACTTCAACATCATACATTCAAGATTGGACAAATATTCCAGACAGAAAATCAGCAAATAAACTGGACTTAATCTGTACTATAGATCAAATGGACATAAGAGATACAGAACATTTCATTCAATGGCAGCAAAATGCACATTCTTTTCCTCAGCATATGGATCATTCTCAAGGACAGACTATATGTTAGGCCACAAAATAAGTCTTAAAACATTCAAAAATATTGAAATAATATCAAGCATCTTCTCTGACCACGATGGAATAGAACTAGAAATCAATAACAACAGGAATTTTGGAAATGATGCAAATACATAGAAATTAACAATATGCTTTTGAAAGACCAGTGGGTCAATGAAGAATTTAAGAAGGAAATAAAAAAATTTCTTGCAACAAACGATAATGGAAACACAACATACAAAGTCTAAGGGATACAGCAAAAGCAGTACTAACAGGGAATTTTATAGCTATAAGTGCCTACATCAACAAAGAAAAAAAATCAAATAACCTGTTTCATTTTAAAGAACTAGAAAAGTAAGAGCAAATCAAGCCCAAAATTAGAAAAAGAAATAATAAAGGTCAGAGCAAAAATAAATGAAATTGAAATGAATAAAATAAAACAAAGATCAATGAAACCAAATGTTTGTTTTTTGAAAAGATAAACAAAATTGACAAACCTTTGGCCAGACTAAGAAATAAAGAGAGAAGCCCCAAATAAATAAAACTAGAGAAGAAAAAGGAGACATTACAACTGATACTGCAGAACTTCAAAGGATCATTAGTGGCCACTATGAGCAACTATATGCCAATAAATTGGAAAACTTGAAGAATGAATAAATTTCTAGGCACATACAACGTACCAAGATTGAACCATGAAAAAATACAAAACTTGAACAGACCAATAGCAAGTAATGAGATCAAAGCCATAATAAAAAGCCTCTCAGCAATGAAAAGCTCAGGACCTAAAGACTTCACTGCTGAATTTCACCAAACATTAAAAGAAAAGCTAATACCAATTCTGCTCAAACTATTTTGAAAGTGAGAAAAATAGAGAATACTTTCAAACTCATTCTACAAGATCAGTGTTACCCTGATACTGAAACCAGAAGAAGACCCATTTAAAAAAAGAAAACTATAGACCAATTTCACTGATGAATATTGATGCAAAAATCCTCAAAAAAGTACTAGGGAACTGAATTCAATGATATATTAAAAAGATAAATTAAAAAGATATTTCACCATGACCAAGTGGGATTTTATCTCTCTGATCCAAGAATGGCTCAACATATGCCAATCAATCAATGTGATACATCATATAAACAGAATGAAGGACAAAAACCATATGATCATTTCAATTGATGCTAAAAAAGCATTTGATAAAATTCAACATCTCTTCATGATAAAAACCCAAAAAAGCTGGGTATAGAAGGAATATAACTATGCATAATAAAAGTCATATATGACAGACCCACAAGTATCAGACTGAATGAGGAAAAACTGAAAGCCTTCTTTTTAAGATCTGAACACAACAAGGATGCCTGCTGTAACCACTGATATTCTACATAGTACTGCAAGTTCTAGCTAGAGCAATCAGACAAGAGACACAAAGGGCATCCAATTAGAAATGAAAAAGTCAAATTATCCTTGTTTGTAGATAATATAATATTATATTTCAAAAACCTAAAGACTTCAGCAAAATGAGAATTGATAAACAAGTTCATTGAAGTTGCAGGATACAAAATCTACGTATAAAAATAGCATTTCTATATGCCAACAGCAAGCAATCTGAAAAATAAATGAAGAAAGTAATCCAATTTACAATATCTACGAATAAAATTAAATACCTAGTCATTAACCTAAACAAACCAAGTGAAAGATCTCTACAAGGAAAACTGTAAACCACTGATGCAAGAAATTGGAGACACCAAAAAAATGGAAAAATATTCCATGTTCATGGACTGAAAGAATCAATATTGTTAAAATGTTTATACTAGCCAAAGGAATCTACAGATTTAGTGCAATCCTGATAAAAATTCCAATAATATTCTTCACAGAAATAGAATCCTAAGATTGATATGGAACCATGAAAGATCCAATATAGCCAATGCTATCCTAAGCAAACAGAACAAAACTGTATAAATCACAATACATGACTTCAAATTACAACACAGAGTTATAGTAACCAAAACAGCATAAAACTGCCATTAAAACAGACACATAGATCAGTGGAATATAATAGAGAACCAAGAGATAAATACATGCATCTACACTGAACTCATTTTTGACAAAGGCATTAAGGACATACGTTGGGGAAAGGACAGTGATATGGTTTGGCTGTGTCCTTGCCCAAATCTCAACTTGAATTGTATCTCCCAGAATTCCTACATGTTGTGGGAGGGACCCAGGGGCAGGTAATTGAACCATGGGGGCCAGTCTTACCCATGCTATTCTCGTGATAGTGAATAAGTCTCATGAGATCTGATGGGTTTATCAGGGGTTTCCGCTTTTGCTTCTTTCTCATTTTCTCTTGCTCCCACCGTGTAAGAAGTGCCTTACACCTCCTGCTATGATCCTAAGGTCTCCCCAGCCATGTGAAACTGTAAGTCCAATTAAACCTCTTTTTCTTCCCAGTCTCAGTTATGTCTTTATCAGCAGCGTCAATACAGACTCATATAGTAAATTGGTACCGAGAGTCAGATGTTGCTGAAAAGATACCCAAAAATGTGAAAGCATTGGAATTGGGTAGCAGGCAGAGATTGGAACAGTTTGAAAGGCTCAGAAAAAGACAGGAAAATATGGGAAAGCTTGGAACTTCCTAGAGACTTGTTGAATGGCTTTGCCCAAAATGCTGATAGCAATATGGACAATAAAATTCAGGCTGAGGTGGTCTCAGATGGAGATGAGGAACTTGTTGGGAACTGGAGCAAAGGTGACTCGTCATGTTTTAGCAAAGAGAGTGTTGGTGGCATTTTACCCCTGCCCTAGAGACTTGTGGAACTTTGAACTTGAGAAAGATGATTCAGTGTATCTGGCAGAAGAAATTTCTAAGCAGCAAAGCATTCAAGAGGTAACTGTTAAAGGCATTCAGAAGTAGAGCATTAAGTTTGCAAAATTTGCAGTCTGACTATATGATAAAAAAGAAAAACCCATTTTCTGGGGAGAAATTCAAGTCGGCTGCAGAAATTTGCATAAGTAGAAAGGGGCCTAATGTTAATCCCCAAGACCATGGGGAAACTGTCTCCAGGTCATGTCAGAGACCTTCACAGCAGCCCCTACCATCACAGGCCCCAAGGCCCAGGAGGAAAAACTGGTTTCATGGGCCAGGCCCAGGGTTCTTGTGCTGTGTGCAGCAGAGGGACTTGGCGCTCTGGGTTCCAGCCACTCCAGCCATTGCTGAAAGGGGCCTACGTACAGCTTGGGCTGTGGCTTCAGAGGGTGGAAGCCTCAAGCCTTCGCAGCTTCCACGTGTTGAGCCTGCAGGTGCACAGAAGTCAAGAATTGAGGTTTGGGAACCTCCATCTAGGTTTCAGAAGCTGTATGGAAATGCCTGGATGTGTAAGCAAAAGTTTGCTGCAGGGGCAAGGCCCTCATGAAGAACCTCTGCTAGGGCAGTGCAGAAAGGAAATGTGGGGTTGGAGCCCCCACACCTAGTCTCTACTGGGGCACTACCTTGTGGAACTGTGAGAAGAGCGCCACCATCCTCTAGAACCCAGAATGGTAGATCCACCAACTGCTTGCACTGTGCACCTAAAAAAGCTGCAGATGTTCAATGCCAGCCCCTGAAAGCAGCCAGGAAGGAGGTTGTACCCTGCAAAGCCACAGGGGTGGAGCTGCCCAAGAAAATGAGAACCCACCTTTGCATTAGTGTGACCTGGATGTGAGACCTGGAGTCAAAGGAGATCATTTTGTAGCTTTAAAATTTGACTTCCCCTCTGGATTTTGGATTTGCATGGGCCTTGTAACCCCTTTGTTTCAGCCAATTTCTCTCATTTGGAACAGCTGTATTTACCTAATGCCTGTATCACCATTGTATCTAGGAAGTAACTAGCTTGCTTTTGATTTTTGGAGGGGTGAGGGATGGAATGATATAGTTCGGCTGTGTCCCCAACCAAATCTCAACTTGAATTTTCTCTCTCAGAATTCCTATGTGCTGTGGGAGGGACCCAGGGGGAGGTCATTTAATCATGGGGGCCGGTCTTTCTCATGCTATACTTGTGATAGTGAATAAGTCTCATGAGGTCTGATGGGTTTAACGGGGTTTTTTGCTTTTGCTTCTTCCTCATTTTCTCTTGCTGCTGCCATGTAAGAAGTGCCTTTCACCTCCTGCCATGCTTCTGAGGTCTCCCCAGCCATGTGGAACTATAAGTCCAATTAAACCTCTTTTTCTTTCCAGTCTCGGGTATGTCTTGTAAAATTAACTATTTTGTATGCCTTATGTTGAAATTCATAGGAAAACTTATCTTCTGTAAATGACTTTTGGAAAGGAATTTGTTCAACCATCTCTAAGCATTACACATGCCTGTGCTTGTCCACTGGATTGAAAGCAGAGAGAAGGAGGTGAGGGGGTGATGGTCAAGGCCAAAACACACATTTAGAAGATACCTCAGATTATAACCATTGTTATGTGTGTGCAATTTTATTTAACACTGCTGTGTACATGAACAAGTTACATAAAATGTCTAGTCTTTCTAGATATTTGGAAGTGCTTGATGTATTTAATAGTAACAGAATGACATGTTTTGCAAAAAGCTTTTAAAAGCTGATGGGAAATGCTGTTTGGAAGTGGAATTGTTGAACCACCTCTGTGAACAGCATACTTTATGTACCTGTTCATTGGATTGAGGAATGTGGAAGGGAAGAAATTGAAAAAGGTGTTTTGCCAGTGTTTATTAGAAAATTTCAGCTTAATCCATTGCCTATATATTACATGCATTTCATTTAACTTTGCTATACTGTATATATTGTGTATATATTAGACAAATGGGTCTTTATTTTATAACATCTAATCTCTATATATTAAAGAGGTTGCCAATATTTAAAAAAATTAATCAATTATAGAACAAAAGAAAATACAGAAATGACAAATATCCAACAAAAATATAGTATTGAAAAGGGAAAATAAAATTAAGCAGAAAAGAAAAAAGAAGAAAATAATAAATATAGAACGAAGCCAAGAAGATCCAATGCAAACTTGGAATTCCTGAAAGGAAGAAAACAAACGAACAAACAAAAACAATGGGATTGAAAATAATTCAGAAAGCCAAATTGGGGATAATCTCTTTAAAAATAACAAAGTTTGGCTAGGCACAGTGGCTCATGCCTATAATCTCAGCACTTTGGGAGTCTGAGGCAAGTGGATTGCTTGAGCTCAAGAGTTTGAGACCAGCCTGGGCAACATGGTTAAACCCTGTATCTACAAAAACAAATTTTTAAATAAGGATTTTTAAAGAAACATTGATTCAGATAGTCAACAATAAGATTTGATAAAATCTGATAAGATTATTGAAATTTTAAGAGAAAAAACATGGCCTCTTGGATCCAGACAAAGCATCAAGTCACTTAAAAGGGAAAGGAAATTGAAAGTACATTTTTCTTTTCAAAGTTTGCAGACTATGCCAGATGCCAATGCAGCAAATGCATTTAAAATACCTAAGGAAATAATACATGAAAACAGAATTTTATATATACTGATGATGGCAGCGGCGGCCTGTCTAGAGTGGCCACTGCCATGACGCCGGGTACAGTGAGAGAGGTGCAGCTGGGGCTGGATGCTCCATGGAGCCGGCGAGAGCTGGGAACAGGCAGAAGCCCCCGCTTCTGAGTTGGCAGTGTGGGAGCTTCACATTTCCTGGGCACAGCTGCAGCCTCCCAGCTGAGGCTGTGGATCTGGGCATCCCCATGCTCTTAATGTCTGTGAGCAGGCAGGAGCCCCACCTTCCTGGGCGCAACTGTAGCCACTCAAGCCACGGCTGTGGACCTAGGCATCTCTGCACTCTCGGGGGCCCGAGAAGGCCCCTTCCCCCACAGGCTCACAAGTGCCTGCTCCTGCTGCCTGGCTTCTCCCCACTCCCAGTGCCGACTCTGATCTCAGAGCAGAGGCCAAGCCCTGGTGCTGTCACAACGCAGCCAGGTGTGCACATGCTCAGGGCAGCACTGACACACTAGCCCCCGACCCCTGGGCCCCCTCTGGAATTTGGGCACCAATGAGCAGCATATAAAGGAGGCCTGGGGGGCTGAGGGCAGCTTGGCACTGGCCTGCAGGCATCCCTCAGCACAACCAACCTGGTTGCCATGAATAGCAGCAGGAGGCAGACAGGCTCCTGGGTGGAAAGGGGCAAGTCCCTGGTTAAGTCCCACCTTCAAGCCAGGGAATACCTGAAGCCTAGGGTTTAGACTGCCAGTCCAGCAGGCCAGAGTAGGAATTTATGGTACTTTTCTGGGCCCATCCATGGCTGCCCATGGACCAGTCAGCATGCACTTCCTCTCCTCTGAAGCTAATAAAAATCCCAGAGTCAGCCAGATTTAAAAAGAGATGTCAGGACAAACAGCTGCAGAGAGGAGCTATCCACTCCAGGGTCTCTTCTCTGCTGAGAACTGAGCAGACAATCAGGATGACCAGATGTGGAGAGGAGCTACCCACTCCGGAGTGACCTCTCTGCTGAGAACTGAACACTTGTCAGGCCACCCTGGCTGTGGAGAGGAGCTACCCACTGTGAGTCTCCTCTGAGCTGTTCTATCACTCAATAAAATTCCTCTTCACCTTGCTCACCTTCCACTTGTCCATGTACCTCATTCTTCCCAGGCACAGGACAAGAACTCGGGATCCACCTAATGACAGGGCTGCAAAAGCTGTAACACAAGCAGGGCTGAAACACGTCCTTTGCTTGCCACATTGCAGGCAACAAGAAGGAGAAAAGAGCTGTGGCCCTTCGGGGACCCCAGACCTAAGAGCTCCCCAAGTCAGGGCTGTGACACCCTCTTTGGGGCTGTGCAGTTTCTGGCATCTCCAAGCTTCTGGTCACCAACGTGTTCTGCAGTGCCAGTCGTGGAAGCTGCTAGCAGGACACCTGGTCCAGCTGCAGCCTTGCAGGGAGCTGGCACCCATGCCAGTGCCTGGAGCTGCCCATCCTGCTTCAGCCAGCATGCTTGGCTGTGCACAGTGGCTGTACTCTATGCTTGCTCACTAACATATCCCTCACCATTCTGCTTGCCCTTGGCAGGGATGGGATCCAGGCCAGCAGTGAGAGCCAAGCACAGCCTACCAGGCAGAGTGGGCTCAGTGGGCCTGAGCAGAACTTGGGCAACGGTGTCACTGGGCACAGAGGTTTCTGGCTGCTAAGGCAACACCCAAGGATCCCGTAACACTGAGACTGAATTTCATGCCAGATGAAAATAAAAAGCTACTACATGTAAATGTGCAATAAATCAGTGAATATGTTTCTGATCCATGCTTTCTGAACAATCTATCACTGAAACCTCTTCAAACAGACAAGACATGTTTAGAAAAGTCTGCATAATGAATGCTATTGAGCATTGAATATATTTATCTTTACAAATAACAAAAAGCTATCTATATCAAAGTGATTAGAAAGATATTATAGATGGATTGTTATAATAAAATTATCCCAAATCAAGGTATAGGTGAGAGAAATCTTAGTAGAGAAAGCTCACTAATATCTTCTAAGTGTTAACGAGGAGTTAGATAATATTTCCTTAAGCAAGAATCTTGGAGAGGGGAAGGAAAGTGGAAGAAACAGTTTATTAGAAAATTGCAAAATTGTTCATTGTGCTATACTAATGGATGATATCTATTTAAAAAGAGAGGACTAAGTATATACTTTAAAGCTATTAGTAAAAGTTTGTGATTAGAACAAATGCAAATCATTATAAATATCAAATTAAAGTTTTTAAAAAGATTACATTTTATTTTTCAAAGGAGCAATTATTGAGGATTTTGAGGGGAATAATTCCATCACTTCTAATTCAATATGGAAGGATTAAAGAGGGAAATAGTCTTGGCAGGGAAATTTGGTTCTGTAATATTGATGCAAAGGAATCTCACTTTTCATTGGTATACTATTCCTTAATAGTATTACAGGGTTGTATTTCCCAATATTTTGTGTTTCTTCTATTGGTGTCTATGAGGAAAAAGTTTCCATAGTTCTCTTATATCATTACATTTATCTTATAAGCTTATCATATTATGGCTTATAAAAATAACTTCTAAACTTTTATTCTGTCAGCTCTGGAAAAGTTTAAACAACACTGGGCAATTTCTTTTTTTTATGCTGGGTTTTATTGTTATGTTTATTTATTTTTTTTATTATACTTTAAGTTCTAGGGTACATGTGCACAACGTGCAGCCTTGTTATATGTGTATACATGTGCCATGTTGGTGTGCTGTACCCATTAACTCGTCATTTACATTAGGTATTTCTCTTAATGCTATCCCTCCCTGCTCCCCCGACCCCAGGACAGGCTCCAGTGTGTGTTCCCCACCCTGTGTCCAAGTGTTCTCATTATTCATTTCCCACCTATGAGTGAGAACATGCAGTGTTTGGTTTTCTGTCCTTGTGATAGTTTGCTCAGAATTGATGGTTTTCAGCTTCATCCATGTCCCTACAAAGGACATGAACTCATCCTTTTTTATGGCTGCATAGTATTCCATGGTGTATATGTGCCACATTTTCTTAATCCAGGCTATCATTGATGGACATTTGGGTTGGTTCCAAGTCTTTGCTATTGTGAATAGTGCTGCAATAAACATACGTGTGCATGTGTCTTTAGAGTAGCATGATTTATAATCCTTTATGTATACACTCAGTAATGGGATCACTGGGTCAAATGGTATTTCTAGTTCTAGATCCTTGAGGAATCGCCACACTGTCTTCCACAATGATTGAACTAATTTACACTCCCATCAACAGTGTAAGTGTTCCTATTTCTCCACATCCTCTCCAGCACCTGTTGTTTCCTGACTTTTTAATGATCACCATTCTAACTGGTATGAGGAGGTATCTCATTGTGGTTTTGATTTGCATTTCTCTGATGGGCAGTGATGATAAGCATTTTTTCATGTGTCTTTTGGCTGCATAAATGTTTTCTTTTGAGAAGTTCTGTTCATATCCTTCACCTACTTTTTGATGGGGTTGTTTGATTTTTTCTTGTAAATTTGTTTAAGTTCTTTGTGGATTATGAATCTTAGCCCTTTGTCAGATAAGTAGATTGCAAAAATTTTCTCCCATTCTGTAGGTTGCCTGTTCACTCTGATGGTAGTTTCTTTTGCTGTGCAGAAGCTCTTTAGTTTAATTAGATCCGATTTGTCTATTTTGGCTTTTGTTGCCATTGCTTTTGGTGTTTTAGTCATGAAGTCCTTGCCCACGCCTATGGCCTGAGTGGTATCGACACTGGGCAATTTCTTAGTTTCTTGTCTCTTCCATATTTATGCATTGTATTTATGTATATATTTTTGCTTAGTTTATCTAAAACAATAGGGTCCTAATGCTTATTTTTGTGAAACTCTTTCTTTGGTTCAAGAATAATTCAACTAGTTACATTTTCTTTAAAGGAATCCACCTATTCAGATTATCTACCTCTTCTGGGGTCAGTTTTAGCAACATGTAATTTCCCAAAATAATTATATCTCTTCATCTAGTTTATTCTAATTTCTTTGTACAGAGTTAAACAAAGTAAATCTAAAATGCTTTCAGATTCTTTTCAATGTATAGTTATTCTATATTTTAAAATTTCTGATTAGTGTTTTCTTCTGAAAAATAAGTTAGCTTCTCTTTGGTGGCACACTTCACTGTAACCACTTCTGTCCCCGACCTTTCCGATGTCACTGCCTTGTTATTAGTAGTGTAAGGATTAATACACTAACGATTCTTTGTGATTGACTATACCCTATCCACACCTTTGTATACAGTGTCATTATTAAACCTTTTTGAGTTATCCAAAATTGAATATAAAATCACTTTCTGACAAAAATTCACTACTCTCCATTGCAACTTTTATTAGAGATATGATTCTACTGACACTACCATGTTAAAAATCATCCTTTCTCTAACTATAATTTCACAAATTGTTAGTCCTCATTCTATACTTAAAAGCATTCAAATCTCTTTGCTTGTCCTTTCATTGTGGATCTTTTCTATAGAGATCAAACTGATAATGATAAATTCTATGTTCTTTTTTTTTTCTTTCTCTTAGAAAATACTATTCCAGACTTAATATTGTCTGGATCTTTAGAGATGGTTTGGAGGGCCTATACTTCTGCTGCAGCAATTATTTTATATACAATGTGAGAATTATTTTTGTTTAATTTGCACATACATAGTTTGTCTTTGCCCTTGCATATAGCTTACATAGGTGCTTCTCAAAACCCTTTCTGAGATATAAATAACGGGCAAGGGTGAGGTTTCATTCACAGCCACTTGGTCAAGTTCCAATGTCAAATAGGCATTAATCCAATGAAGGCTGTGCAACACATCCTTTGCTTGCCACATTGCAGGCAACAAGAAGGAGAGAAGAGCTGTGGCCCTTCAGGGAGCCCAGACCTAGGAGCTCCCCAAGTCAGGGCTGTGACAACTTCTTTGGGGCTCTGCAGTTTCTGGCATTGGGAGCTTCTGCAGCCTTTACTTTTGTGCTTGACCCTATTGCTGGATAAAATATAAAATATTACTACCCTCAAAATTCAATTCTAGACATTTATTATAACAGACAACATGGACAATATTAAAATTAATTTTACTTCTTGTAGAGGTAGGATCTCACTGTGTCACACAGGCTGGTCTCTGACTCTTAGCTTCAAGGGATCCTCCCAGCTCAACCTCCCAAAGCATTGGGATTACAGGCATAAGCCACCATGTCTGGCTGATAAACAGTGTTTTAACTGAGACATACCTGTTATAAAATTATCACTTTATCCATAATGTTTTCCTTTTCTTTAAATGTATTTACTTATTAGTTACTTATGGCATGCTATCATAATCAATCTGAGTGAAGCCTTATATTCATCTCATTTTAAAATAATTATCACCATTAATATTTTGTTTATTCCAGTATTATAATCACTTTCCACTATCCTTCATTCATTTTTGCTAAGTTATGTCCACTTAATTTCTTTTATATGTTTATGTGTATATAAAAATGTACATAGATGAACTTGTGTATAATCTCATTTTTATAATTTTTATTTAAATTATGTTTTGAGGTCTATACCTATTGAAAAATTTTACTATATTTTTTATTTTCTTAGTAAAATTTATGCTTAATGATATATTTCTGTATTCTCCCATTTTTCCACTGCTACAAATAGATATGCAAGAACACCCTTTAAAATATGTATTTTTGAACTCATATAGGAGAGTTAATTTGGACGATATACCAAGGAATAATACATTCATTGTTATATGTATTTCTAGATTGTTCTCAAAAATGGCTATCTACCTCTTTATCTATTCAACTTTTCTTATGACAAACATGAATTATTTGCAAGCTTGAATATTAATATCATGTTTGTGATATTAATACTCCACATATTGTGTGGAATTGCAGTTCGTTTTCATTGCTGTACAGTATTTTGTTAATAGAACACATCACAAGTTAATTATTCATTATAGTTATTGAAAAGGATTCTGCTGGTCTTTATGTTTTGAGTATTATAATAGTGGTTCTGTGAATGTGATCAGATTTCAGATCAGATACATAACCATATGTGTAATTGCTAGCTCATAACACATGCATATGAAGGACCAGAGAGTTCCAGTTGCTCCAAATCATTCTCCAAAAAAATAAAATTTTGTTCCATTTTATTCATTCTAGTGGAGGTAGTGAAGCTTTATTGTGCTTTTATTTTGTATAATTTAATTGCATATTTAATTACATTGAACACATTTTATACAATTTTTTATTTGGAAATTTTATTTTGAAACTTGTAATCATCCATTGTCCATTAAGCTATCTTTCATTTCTGTTGATTTGTTGGAATGTTTACATGTTCTGCAAGTATGCCCATCAAACATATATTCTCCCACACTATAACTCTGTAGGCTACTCTTTTTACCTGCTTACTGTTGTCTTTTGACGAACTGAAGTTCCTACTTTTAATATGGACTGTTGTATCATTTTTCCTAGCACAATTTATGTCCTTTTTAAAAAGAAAATTCTTGCTTACTACAAGTACATAAAGATGTTCTCCTACATCTTCCTTTAAAGTAGAAGTATTTTATATTTACACATGAAATCCATATGGAATTGATTTTTGTGTGTGGTTCTTATACATATTATATCCCATATAACTATCCAAATGACCCAGCACTATTCATCAAAAAGAAACTCTTCTTCACTTCTACACTCTTGCCTTTGTCATATCTCAAGTGACCATTTATGTGTGGATGTGTTTCACAATCCTCTATTCTGTTATTCCAATCACCTTTGGTAATAAACTCTTGTATAACTTTTATTAGATTACTTTAGTAAATTCTGGATTTTCTCCAATGCTATTGTAAAAGCTATCACTTTAAAAATATAAGTATCTATTTGTTCCCAGTATATTAAAATATGACTGATTTTATTTTTATTTACCTTGTATCTAGAAGCCTCCATGGATTAACCTGTTAATTCTAATAGTCTATTTCTCAGCACTTTTAGAATTTTGTTTATATTCATGTCTTCTGTGAATATTAGCTAGAGTGTATTTAGTTTTTTTCCAATCCTTATGTCTATTTATTTATCATCTTCTCACATTGGCTGGGAACTGCTATGTAATCATAAATTAAAACAGTAAAAATTGGAATCTTTGCCTTTTTCCTGATTTCAAGAATTTTTTTCAATATTTTACTATCGAGTACAATGTTAACAGTAAAGTTTTTACAGATACTCGTGTAGATTGATTTTGTAGATTATCTGACTTTTAATCTTGAAAAGAGTAGAAGTCACACTATTTCCAGCTTTCTGTAGCCCAGGTGAAAACCAATATAATGAGGGTTTAAAAAGACAAATGTATGTTTCTTATAAAACATCTATCATTTTAATTTCTCATTCTGAATAATCACTGTCAAATTATTATGAATGAATATATTGTTCAGGCAAGAGGTTATAAATAAAGAAGTCTAGCGGTGGATCTCAGCAAAATCACATATATTCTGTAAGCTTCATTTTTAATTCTATGGAGTGAAGGTATAAAAATTGCTGTATCCATTATAACTATTTAGATGTTAAAACTAAAAGAAAGAACTTTTAAAAGTTTTAAAGCATCTAACATGTTACTTTTTCATTACTGAAAATATAGCAAATTAAAATTATTGCTAAGAAAATTCATATAGCTCAAAATCTATTCATAATTTATTCTTAGCTACATTAATTTTATACACTATTCATATAAGCTTATGGAAAAATTTCTAAAGATACTAAATTAGGAAATATTATTTCAGGTTTGGTTAGTAAACATTAAAGGGAAAGTATTTTCCTCAGCTTAATGACTTTAATGGAAGATTGATATTTTTCAGAGGACCTTATAAATTTTCTAAAATTATTTTTAACCTTGTGACTTCGTAAATATTGCATATTAGAAGATATTCTTGTGTTATACACATTAGCTAACAAGTATATTTGTGGCATAAATTTGTTTTATATGTAATTTGTAATATTTGTCTCTTGGATGTGTTATATATTGACTTCTATATATTAGGTTGGTGCAAACGTAATTGCAGTTTTTGCTAATTACTTTTAATGGTAAAAACTACAATTACATTTCCACCAACCTAGTATGTGTCTATATTTAAATAAATGAAAGCTAGAATCTGTAATCAAATTTTGTACTTAAATTTTGATTTTGTGGAGAACTCTGTATCCACATAAAGACAGGCATCTTGGGATATTTTAAACTTTTGGGACATGTATTAATACTTTTATGAAAAAATCTATCACTCTATCTTAGATATATTTCCCATAATAGCAGAAATGAAATTAATGAATAATATCTGTCATCATTTCAAGATATTCTAAAATTTTAATTCATCAAGTAGACTTAGTTCTCTTAGACACATAAATTTATTTTTGACTATCAAAATTTATGAGATTCACATTAAATTATTATACTTATAAATCCATGTTTGTAAATTTGTACTCAAACTGAAAAGTATATTTATTAAACAGCATGAAATTATTCTGAAACCAACTTAGGAAAACTCTCAATAACTCTGTTCTTTATTTGAATCAGAGGTTCTCAGGGTACTTTTTAAGTGCCTGAACAGATCAGAGCACTTGTTAAGTCCCCTGGACAGATTATTATCAGTGAGGGAGTGTTAGAACTGTATCTTTAAAGGGAAAATTCTTAAAACACTGTTTTATTTGAAAATGTTTGATGTTAAGTATTTTTTTCAATATACTCTTTCTTGCCAACAATTATGCCTATCGTTTCTTTAGATATTTTTATTGGATTAGCTTAAGGGAGGCTTGTTTGAACTGCGATTTCTCAGAGTTAATGTCTATTTCACCAAATGGCTGTTATTTTGTGCACCTTATAAGAGAGTCGCAAATCAATGGCATATTCACTAGTAAATATTTATTAGGAAAGACTGTGTGCTTCCTGTATATTCACTTACCTCTGAAAGAAACAAGTGTTATAATTAGATTAATATGACTCAGAAATCAACAGATATTATTGAGGTACCTACTATGTGACAGGCACCAGGTTTCCTAATGCATAGTTTAGTGCCTGAAAAATAGAAGATGGCATGGGAACAATTTACTTATGTAGTCAAACAAGGTACAATCCATCTAACTAGTAAGTGAAGATATTTTTGATTGCATGATATAAATTTAGGAATTTAGCCTCTTCCTAAATGTATATTTCATCTGTTCTGATAAATGCCAAATTACTGTAGACAACACAGCCAAAATTAAATGTTAGTAAAAAGGTTATTTTTGTAATAATCAATTAAGAAGCAATAGATGAGAGATCTCTTGTGAAATAAAGTATAGGTAGAGGAAGGAAGAAGAGAACATCAGGAACTGCATATGAGGGATAGAAGAGTGGAATAGCATAATGATGGTTAGAAAAATATTGAGAAGGTTCATGTTTGATGAATATGAATTAGTAGAAGAGACTGATGGTGCCTAGTTAATTTCTTCATTTTACAAATTTTCCTTGCATTGGCTGTATCATGGAATGTGTAAGACAACTATCTCTGCTATGTCACGTATAAATGATAATTGCTCACTTAAGGTCAGATAACTCTATGAAGAACATTTTGAAATGGACAAGGTATTTGTTATTGGGCACTCTGTAGAGAAAAAATTCTCAAAGTGTGTGTATATCACATTAGATCCATAGGATGTTTGATAGTAAAATGATATTTGAGAATATTGGAAACTATTATTCTTCTTTGGAAATTCAAAATATATATTAGCAGATTAAAGAAGTGAAGTCCATCATTGAACTTTGTAAAATCACTCTTTCCTAAATATAATACATTTCAGCTTATAAAAATGAACAATGTGGCTCATGCCTGTAATCTCAGCACTTTGGGAGGCCGAGGTGGGCAGAACACTTGAGGTCAGGAGTTCGAGACCAGCCTGGTCAACATGGTGAAACCCTGTCTCTACTGAAAATACAAAAATTAACCAGGCATGGTGGTGCATGCCTGTAGTCCCAGCTACTTGGGAGGCTGAGGCAGGAGAATCACTTGAACCCAGGAGGTGGAGGCTGCAGTGAGCCAAGATCATGCCACTGCACTCCAGCCTGGGCAACAGAGCAAGCAAAAAAACAAACAAACGAAAAACACCAATGATTATATATCATTAAATGATATTAGTTTTTCAGAATGGAGAGCCTAGGAAAAACTGAAAAAAAAAAGAACTTCTAAGGTATTTTATAGCTCTAGAATTCTAGGATTCTAGATATAAATTATTACTTGTATACAAATACAAATATATTCAATATTAAGCTGCTTTTCATATAAAAATGAATGCTGGAATATCACATAAAATTAATACTACTATATTTAACTATTAGATGTGGAGCAAATAATACATGTTATTATAGTAAAAATTGTCTAACCTACAACAAAAAGAACTGTATTAGGGTAAATTTTCTTAAATTTACATGAAAATTTTTGATACATTATGGTTTATGTTAACTTGAAATTATTTTCATATTAATTTTGAGAAGCTCTTTTCATTTTCATCAGAATTACTGGCTGGAAATTTTATTATGGTTGCATGTAATCTATACATCAGTGAGATGATTCCTTTCCATCTACTTTGCATTAATTTTTTGGAATTTGTATAACTGGTTTTCGTTTCTTCTCTATTGGACCTTTAAATGGCTCCTAAAAATGTCCACATTCTAATCTCTAGAACCTATGAATATGTTATTTGGTAAATGGGACTTGAGGTTGCTCATCAGCTGACCTTAAAATAGGGAGGTTATCCTGGATTATCTGGTAGGCCTGATGTAATCATAAAAGTCTTTAAAGTGAAAAAAGAATGTGAAAGAAAAGTCAGAGAAAGAGACGTGATAAGGAAACAGGATCACAGTGATGCTATGTTGTTGACTTTGAAGATGGAGGAAGGGGCTCAAGAGCCAAGGAATATGCACAGCCTCTAATAAATAGAAAAAGCAAAAGCACAAATTATTTACTAGCCTCCAAAAAGGGGAGACAGCCTTGTCAACCCCTTGATCCTTAGCCCAGCAAGATTGGTGATGGATTTATGATGTAGCTCAAAGATAATACATTATGTTGTTTTAAGCCAATACATTTTTGGTAATTTGTGAGAGAAGCAATAGGAAACAAATACTGTATGTAAAGCTAGAGATCAGAGTATTAGAGGACAATATTCCAAACTCAGAAGTACAGCAAGACAACATTTTAAATTTTTAAATTCTTCAAAGCCAGAAATTTTAATTCTTTGGTCTTTACTAGTAGGTTGTTAGATTGCCTTCATATTTAAAATAAGTATATTTGCATAAATAAATTTATCCACAAATAGATTCACACTGAAGTTGATCAAATAATTATTCTCATGGTAATTTAATCTATTAAACAGGACACTCAAATATTTTCTATTAAAATGGGTATTTTTAAAATTACAAATGATTATTTTTGTTTTTTGATTGTAAATAATGATAGGAAGAGGAAAATAATTGGGCTTTTTTCTTTTTTGCCATGTCTATCTAGTTTTCAATGTTTTCTAACTGTTTTATTGATGTTCTGCTTTCACTTGTGTGAAAAATCCATTCAGAATATCTAGAATTTTGAGAAGAATATTGGATCTGATAATTCTTTACTTTTAACATATTTTTGAATCATATTCGTGTATCTCAATGAATTGTATTTAAGTATTACTAAGTAAAATGGGAATTCAATACTTTCTTGTCACCTTGTGGAAAATAAAAAGCAAATTGAAATTTTAGTGCCTGGTAACACATTAGGTATCTATACCTCAAAGTCAGTAACAGAAATTAAAGTAGAGCATTTCATCCTGGACTGTGTAACTTAGAACCATAAATCATTTTCTTGACATAAAAAGTTTAGGAAAAGAAGATTTAAAAATGCAATGATGTTGGACAACATTAATGGTGACGCACTGTCAGCTTGGGATGCCTATGCCCTCACCACATGACACCTTTACTTTATACTGTCTAGAACTGAAGTAGAAATTGTTCTGATTTGTGAGAATATATTTAATACAATTTGCTTTTAACTTATATTTTGCTTCCTGGTACCTGGTAAAAAGTTCAGGAGCAATATTGTGACTGCATTTTCTGCATTTTAGTATAAATTAAAAGGGAAAAATTTAGTAATTGCTAGTATAATAATAAGTCACTTTCACTTGTGGTTGAAGCCAGTGAAATGTGAAGCAAGTAGACCTGGTCTTTGTAAAAAAATATTATTAGAGTGGTAAGAATAATTTATCTTTCCTCTAGGTTAGAAAAAATGAGGATAGCTTTTCATATGCCTGAATATTTATTTTTGTAAAATTTTATGGCATTGAGAAAGTCATTTTTTCAAGATTGTCAATAATAAAACAAAAAAGCTGGATTTCAGGGAAATATTAGTACAACATTGTCATTAATTCACAAAATGAGTTATAATAGTAATGTTATTATTATTTTGACTTTTTCTTATGGAATCAAATATTGACTCAAAACCTAATAAGATTACACTAACATTTTCTTTCTTCCACAAATAAAAAATATAATTAAATGAAACAAGTACAAGTGTACATTTTATCAAATAAGTCTAAATAAAATTTTTTATTCTTAGTACTCTGGGACTCAGTCTATATGAGATAACCTATAAGGGAAAGTCAGTTTATAAAATATTTTTCTTTTATCAGAAAGAGTAGAATATAAAAAGCACTAAATCTACCATAATGCAATAACATATGAAGTTGCATGAAATGCAGAGTCACATTATTAATGCAAAACAACATTTTTCACTCAGTATGTACTCTTACAAGAAGCAAAAAGTAAATATAATGACACATTTACACAACTGAGAAAATATTAACAAATTATCTGGATACTATTATTTCCTAATCCCATTGCCTAGTCCCCACCTACTTAAGCAAATGCTGAAAACTCTAACTCATCTCCGTTTGAATATTGAACTAATAAAGGGCAAAGAGCCAAAGAGAATCTTGCCACAACAAATATGGATTATAACAAAGTATACAATGCAATGCTTACCTGGAATTTGATAGCTGCTTAATGAAGTGCACATAGAAGTAATATTTCCATAAATATTTCTGATGTGTGGTTAGAAGAATTTTGCTTTTGATAAAATTCTGAACATATAAATGTAAAACAACTTTTAAAAGGTGTTTCATGTGAATATCAACTTTGTATTTGACAGCAACAGGAAGAACTAAAATACAGACTTGAAAATGGTTGCTCTTTATCAATGCTAAACTCTTTTCCTGTATAATCAGTCAATAGTTTCAAGGCTTCCAAAGAGAGATAATTCTCAGCTCACAAATGAATGTGGAAGTTCCATTAACCATTTTCAGTGTTCAGGAATGGAGTAAGGAAAATGAAATTACAAGGGGAAATGACCATGTGAATATAGCACAATTAATGACTATGCCATTAATCTGAGCTAGTATTTTATCCTTCTTTAATTTCATTAAAGGTGATAGAATATCTAGTTAAGTAGATAGTTGCCATTTAGCTTATATATCATGGATCGTTTCAATTGTTTGTCATGTACCTCAATTATTTTTTTAAAAATATTTTAATCTAAACTCCATCACCATGTTAATTTAATGTGGTAAGCTTTAAGAAATATATATTTTTGAAGATAATTTTATATTGAGATAAATAATGATCTATACTTATTTTGTTGCTGAATTACAACATAAGGTAGATTCAAAGTCTTATTGATATT
Source organism: Homo sapiens (assembly GCF_000001405.40). Taxonomy (NCBI): domain Eukaryota; kingdom Metazoa; phylum Chordata; class Mammalia; order Primates; family Hominidae; genus Homo; species Homo sapiens. The sequence goes on along the minus strand of NC_000002.12, from coordinate 187,736,964 downwards.
TAATCTATGTATCAATTATATTAATGATAAGCTTTAAAAAAGCTTTCTGTCATAAATATACTTGCAAAAAAAAATCTCATCCTTTAAAGTATAAGGAAATGGGCTAGTTTTCCATCTTTGTTGTCTGTGTATACGTGAGGATTTAGTCCCAATGAAACTCCATATTCCCAAGCATCGGGATGTGAAGATTCTATGATCTATACATGTAATACCATCCCCAAAACATTAAAATTTTCCATTAAAAAAATCTGAATACAGGTATATTACCTCAGAAAATTCAAAGCCAGAAATTAACTACGAGCTTAAACTGATGAAAAAGAGATGTTCTGAGGGATTAACTGTCTTACATAAGATACAGATATGTCCTACTTATTTATAAAGCTAATCAAATTATTCCCTTTTTATCTTTTAAAATAAGTTATAAAAAATCCTCGTAGCATTTTAGATTGTTGTATACACATGATACACATGGAACTTGTGGTTATTAATTTGCAAAAGAAAAAATTGATTTTCAATTTCAATATTTAATTCATTTTATTCGTGAGAGCTTTACATATTGATATATTTATTATGATATGTACAATTAGAGAATAGTCGCTAACTCAGAAATAACTTTTATATTAGGAAGACTCTAAATACTAAATATATGAAATTTAAAGTATTTTTTTTCCATTAGCTCCAGTTTTTATGTGATTACCCCCATCTTTGGTTGAATAACCTCTAATGACTTTTTTTCTGTGTGATTATTTATACTTCTAGGAAAATTGTTTTTATTTAAACTTGTGTTCCTTTAAAATCTGTCATGTATTTTTCTTACTATTTCTACTGTGTTTTCTCTGAATTATACATTGAAAGGTAACACTAATAACAAATACAAACTCATGTCTATTTCCAAGTACCCTCTAACATCTAATTAGTATATAATTTGATTCTAAGTAACACTAAGCAGTGGTCTATAGAAATAAAATAACAATCCAGACCTCCAGACATTATAATTTATCTCCTGCATTATCATTACAGTCTTCTCACTGTTTTCCCTGTGCTACAATGCCTTGCTATGGATTATTCTCTGAATATGTGATGCCCGGTTGGCAGTTCTTTTCTCTCACCACTTAAAATGTTCTACCACTTTTATGGCTTCCATGATTTCAGATGAGAAATGTACTGTTATTTGAATTGGTGTTCCTCTCTAAATAAGGCAACATTGCTCTTTGGTCATTTAAAAAACTTTTTTGTCTTTCATTTTTAAGTTTCATCAGGATATGTCTTTATGTGTATTTCCTCAGGTTTACCCTATTTGAGATTCACTAAGCTTTTTGAATCTGTAAGTTTATGTCTTTTTCCAATTTGGGAAGGGTTCAATTATTCCTTTGAAGATTTGTTCAGCCCTACTCATTTATTTCTGTCTTCTAAGATTTCTATAATAGAATGTTCAGCCTTATGTTATTATCTCACAAGTCTCTGAGGCTTTGTTCATTGCTTCAATCAATTTTCTCTCTGTTGTTCAGACTGAATAAAATCTACTTTTCTGTCCTCAATTTCCTGATGCTATCTTTTATCATATCCACTGTTGAATTAGGCCCATCCAGCAAGTTTATTTTTCTATTCACTAATGTATTTTTCAGTTCTACAATTTCCATTAGGTTTCTTTTTTCTTTCTTTTTTTTTTTTTTTTTGGCTGAGTTTTTGCCTATTTTTCATTTGCTTCAAGATATTTTATTTTATTATACTTTAAGTTCTAGGGTACATATGCACAATGTGCAGGTTTGTTACATATGTAAACATGTGCCATGTTGGTGTGCTGCACCCATTAACCCATCATTTACATTAGGTGTATCTCCTAATGCTATCCCTCCCCCCTCCTCCCACCCCACGACAGGCCCCAGTGTGTGATATTTCCCTTCCTGTGTCCAAGTGTTCTCATTGTTCAATTCCCACCTATGAGTGAGAACATGTTTGGTTTTTTTGGTGTTTGGTTTTTTGTCCTTGAGATAGTTTGCTGAGAATGATGGTTTCCAGCTTCATCCATGTCCCTACAAAGGACATGAACTCATCATTTTTTATGGCTGCATAGTATTCCATGGTGTATATGTGCCACATTTTCTTAATCCAGTCTATCATTGATGGACATTTGGGTACGTTCCAAATCTTTGCTATTGTGAATAGTGCCGCAATGAACATACGTGTGCATGTGTCTTTATAGCAGCATGATTTATAATCCTTTGGGTATATACCCAGTAATGGGATGGCTGGGTCAAATAGTATTTCTAGTTTTAGATCCTTGAGGAATCACCACACTGACTTCCACAATGGTTGAACTAGTTTACACTCCCACCAACAGTGTAAAAGTGTTCCTATTTCTCCACATCCTCTCCAGCACCTATTGTTTCCTGACTTTTTAATGATCGCCATTTTAACTGGTGTGAGATGGTATCTCATTGTGGTTTTGATTTGCATTTCTCTGATGGCCAGTGATGATGAGCATTTTTTCACGTGTCTTTTGGCGGCATAAATGTCTTCTTTTGAGAAATGTCTGTTCATATCCTTTGCCCACTTTTTGATGGGGTTGTTTGATTTTTTCTTGTAAATTTTTTTGAGTTCTTTGTGGATTCTGGATATTAGCCCTTTGTCAGATGAGTAGATTGCAAAAATTTTCTCCCATTCTGTAGGTTGCCTGTTCACTCTGATGGTAGTTTCTTTTGCTGTACAGAAGCTCTTTAGTTTAATTAGATCCCATTTGTCAATTTTGGCTTTTGTTGATCAAGTGGGCTTTATCCCTGGGATGCAAGGCTGGTTCAACATATGCAAATCAATAAACGTAATCCAGCGTATAAACAGAACCAAAGACAAAAACCACATGATTATCTCAATAGATGCAGAAAAGGCCTTTGACAAAATTCAACAACCCTTCATGCTAAAAACTCTCAATCAATTAGGTATTGATGGGCTGTATCTCAAAATAGTAAGAGCTATCTATGACAAACCCACAGCCAATATCATACTGAATGGGCAAAAACTGGAAGCATTCCCTTTGAAAACTGGCACAAGACAGGGGTGCCCTCTCTCACTACTCCTATTCAACATGGTGTTGGAAGTTCTGGCCTGGGCAATCAGGCAGGAGAAGGAAATAAAGGGTATTCAATTAGGAAAAGAGGAAGTCAAATTGTCCCTGTTTGCAGATGACATGATTGTATAACTAGAAAACCCCATCGTCTCAGCCCAAAATCTCCTTAAGCTGATAGGCAACTTCAGCAGTCTCAGGATACAAAATCAATGTGCAAAAATTACAAGCATTCTTATACACCAATAACACACAAACAGAGAGCCAAATCCTGAGTGAACTCCCATTCACAATTGCTTCAAAGAGAATAAAATACCTAGGAATCCAACTTACAAGGGATGTGAAGGACCTCTTCAAGGAGAACTACAAACCACTGCTCAATGAAATAAAAGAGGATACAAACAAATGGAAGAACATTCCATGCTCGTGGATAGGAAGAATCAATATCATGAAAATGGCCATACTGCCCAAGGTAATTCATAGATTCAATGCCATCCCCATCAAGCTACAAATGACTTTCTTCACAGAATTGGAAAAAACTACTTTAAAGTTCATATGGAACCAAAAAGCCTGCATTGCCAAGACAATCCTAAGCCAAAAGAACAAAGCTGGAGGCATCACACTACCTGACTTCAAACTATACTACAAGGCTACAGTAACCAAAACAGCATGGTACTGGTACCAAAACAGAGATATAGACCAATGGAACAGAACAGAGCCCTCAGAAATAATACCACACATCTACAACCATCTGATCTTTGACAAAACTGACAAAAACAAGAAATGGGGAAAGGATTCCCTATTTAATAAATGGTGCTGGTAAAACTGGCTAGCCGTATGTAGAAAGCTGAAACTGGATCCCTTCCTTACACCTTATACAAAAATTAACTCAAGATGGTTTAAAGACTTAAGCATAAGACCTAAAACCATAAAAACCCTAGAAGAAAACCTAGCAATATCATTCAGGACATAGACATGGGCAAGGACTTCATGTCTAAAACACCAAAAGCAATGGCAACAAAAGCTTCAAGATAATTTATAATTGTTGAAGCAACAAGCAATTACAAATGAACAGAACCACAGGGATGCTTTAAAAATCTTGATAGACAATCTCAACATCTGATAGTTTTAACATTAGTTGATTGTCTTTTCTCATTCAAGTTATGTTTTTTTCTGATTCTTGGTATTTAATATATATAGATATAGATTTCTATAATATATACCTATATATAGCTAGATACCTCTCTATATATAAACATATTATATACAAAATATACAAAGATAAAACAAGTATATACATATACAAAAATAAAATATTTTAAATTGTATTTTAGACATTTGGGGTATTAAGAAATTTTTGATCCTATTTAAATCTTTTATTTTAACAGTTAGCCACCCTATATAGGCTTAGCATGTAAATCTGTTTTTATGAACTGTAGTTTCAGAGGTCTTGCAATAATTTTCTGGTCTGCTTCATTCTTATGAAGCTATTGGGGCTCCAGTTCATTTCAACAAGTGCTATCTGGGTTGTCCAGTGCTAATGGGTGAGAAGTTCAGAAAAAAATAGATGTAGGTCACTTGCTCTCATCATTAGAGAGCTAGAAAACACCAGTTCTTTTGTGACATAGGTGCTAACATGTCAGGCTTGCCATTACCACTGGTTGTGGGTATGGTTGAGTCTTTTTCTAAAATGACTTATGCTGGTGCAGTTGTAAATCTGGCTCATGATTGCCCCAGGTGTGGGCAGGTCCCTGCTGCTGCTGCTGCAGATCTGTTACTGCTGCCCTAGGTGGGCATTGGGTGATAGATCTTCCCATATAGTCACTGCTGGCCTGCCTCTTTGGTCATAGACAACAGAATTTTCTTGTTTCATTTTTGTTTTTCTATGCTTGTTTGTTGTTCAGGTTTGCAGATTTTAGCACCCAGCTTAATATAGCGTACAAAAAACAAAAACACAACCCAAGGAACTCATCACACGGTCATCCCTTAAGTCCAAAGATTCCTAGATAATCTATCTTCTTCCTTTTAGCTTTCAGAGTCCTTTCATAATTATTTGTTGAATTACCATACTCCTGGTCTAATTCCTTACCACATATTTCTTAGGTTACTGACTGCCTGCTCTGGCCTCTACAAATTCCATTCCAGTGCTTTTTCCTCTCCTTCCAATGCATCTTGCAATGTACCTTATATTTCTACCATCAGTAACTTCTCTTCAAATAAATATAAAGAATGTAACTGTAATACTCATTGTCTTCATAGAAATACTTTTTGTCCTTTCCTTTTCATGACAGCAGCTCAGCTCATGCCTTCCACATATACCATATAATTTTCTGTTTTGCCTGTTATTATTTTTTTCCCTACAAGTTCAAATTTTCTTTACTACAGTTGTTAATAGCATCTCTGAAATGGTATCAGCTATATATCTTCTATGAAATTTTATTTCAAATCTATGTAACATTTTGTATTCTTAGTGAGAATTTAATTATGCATGTTTTACTTATTTGTCCTTAAATTTACTACATTGCCAGTCATTGAAATACCTTGTCAAAAGTATTCTGAATTGCTTAAATCCCCTGTGCCTTCTGTATCTAATATATTGCTGGCAAAAGAAAATGTACTTAAGAAATTTAATTTAATCACCATGCTCTATTGAAATCTATATACTCGTTAATGATTTTTTTGTTTCATAAAATTTCAGAAAAGTGACCTTTCGCTTTAGAAATGTGTTAAAAATGATTCATTTTCTTTTTTTTTTCTTTTTTTTTTTTTTTTTTTTTTTTTGAGCCAGAGTCTCACTCCACCGCCCAGGCTGGAGTGCAGTTGTGCGATCTCAGCTCACTGGAACCTCTGCCTCCCGGGTTCAAGCGATTCTCCTGCCTCAGCCTCCCAAGTAGCTGGGACCACAGGCACGCGCCACCACGCCTGGCTAATTTTTGTATTCTTGGTAGAGACAGGGTTTCACCATGTTGGACAGGCTGGCCTGGAACTCCTGACCTTGTGATCCACCTGCCTCGAACTCCTGACCTTGTGATCTGCCTGCCTCGGCCTCCCAAAGTGCTGGGATTACAGGTGTGAGCCACCACTCCCGGCCTTTTGTTTTCAATTAAATAGTAAAATAATCCCAAATAATGTGAAATTAAATGAAGGTTCTTTATAAAATCATATATTCTTGGTTTTATTTTAGATTAATATTCATTAATGAAAATGGCAACTGTGACAGATATACACTGGATTTACATTTGGTCTTGTATTTTAAGCAATATAAAAAAAGCTTTCACTGTCCATGTTAAATTGCCAACCCTTGAGATAAGTTCAATGATGAAATAAGATTGTTTATCATTGGTATGTACTTGGGCATCATGACATAGAGAAAACGTAGTTCTGTATTTATTTGTGTTTGTGTATATGTGCATGTGTACACACTTATAAATACATATATATGCACATATGCAACACATGTACATATATTCACCACATATACACATGTGTATATTATATATATGTGAATATATACACACACACAAATACCATTTAAGTGAATTTTATCTAAGTAATTGAAGTCATATTCCAAGTGCTTTCTCTGTGCCCTACATATACATTTTGGAGGAAATTAGGCCCCTGTCTCCTGTGCTTTTACACAGTTCAAAACAGCATTTAAATAATCATTTGGCAGAGGAGCTCCTGCCAACTCATTCTTATTGTTTTTTAGAAAAAGGAAATCATTAAGCACTAGCCAAATCTAAGTACTGGGAAAATAATGAAAAAAATAATAATCTAGAACTTTACATAATCACCTATTTGGAAAAATCGCAACACTTCTACTTTAATATTACAATGTATATTTACTAGTTTATAAACATAAATGCACACTACAAAGGCATACTCAGTTAAGGTTTATCTAAATTTGAATTCAAACTACTGAAAATAATTCTTTTATATGTCTTGTTTTTCCACTGACTTATTTTAAGATATAGCACTATCATTTCATTTCCAGTCTGCAGCTAGAAGAAAATGAAATTTTCCCAGTGTACCTCTTAAGATAAATCCTTCTGTTAACTTTTCACAGGATTTCCTAATAGAGTTAACGTCTGTGAAATTCAGGCCTGCACTGGAATCCAAAATTCATCTCAAGGAGAATTTTAAAAAGGATTAATAAATACATCAGAATGAACTTATTTATCATGAATTATATCATATTTCACTATAAAATGGTATTGTAATGTGTAGGACCATAATTTGAGTGTCTGTGTAGGTTTTGGTTATAGCCAGCCTTCTGTCCTCAGGAGGGGAGAACACAGCACATTTACTAATTTACTCCTTGCTTATTCCAGAATGGGTCCATTTTTATTAGATCTCTAGCTCTCATCAGAGGCATTTATTGCCTAAATATGCAATTTAAAAAATTTAAACCTCAAGCACATTTTTCAAAGGCTACGTTTATTAGAAAACTACAAGTGAATTAAAATCTTTCATTGATTAAAAAAAAAGAATTAGAATTTTGTATTTGCTTCTTAATCTCTGAACATATTCCTGTGTCCATAAACCAACATTTCTCAAAGTGTGTTGGTAGTAACTAATACCACCAACTCTGAAAAATTATGGAATGGCTGTTAAGTACTGGGTTACATCAAGTTCAGTTATATCAAGTTAACTGAAATTTTTGAAGGCTCTAACGTGTTTATGAGATTTGTGAATGGCTAATAGTGCACTGTATTTGCCAAGTGCATTTGACCAGAGAAATATTCACTTCTTTCTTTCCACATTCCCTCCCCTAGTATCTCATTGAAAGAGTATTCTGGAAAACCAATTATAGAAATGCTGCCCTAGAAAAATAACTTCCCTTAAATAGGTGAAGTTTATTTTTTGTTTTGTCTAATGATTCACTTTGGGGACGTAGGAAACCCTCCAATAACACACACACGGACACATTTACCCTCCCTCACTATTCCCCAGTGTTCATTATTCCGTCTCCTTTTCAGACTTTATATCTGGGTGCTGTTAGTTTTACCCTTTATTGACAGTAAGCAAAAAATCTCCTCATTTAAACCATATCCCCCTGATCTGGAAATGCATAGCAGTCTATTTCTTTTACAAATATTAGTACATATTTTTAAAAAACAGCATTGTAAAGCTTCTTCTAGGTAGTGAACTCACTAGTTGTATATAATGTTTGATATTAATATTGAAAAGGCATGTGGACTCTGGTAAGAAGAAAGCTAACTTAAGGTCCTGACTCCATCTCTCTTTGTAACCTTGAACAAATATAAAATATTTAACCTATAAAAACCTCATTTTCTCATTTTTACAAAAGACACCAGAATAATAACTATCTCATGAGGATTAAGAAGATATAAACCCTCTTTGTATAACACAGTACAGACCACAGATAAAGCATTTGGTGAATGACAGTTATTAGCACTGTAGCTATCCATATTGCTATTCTTTTAGGTAGTACAGATAGAACTTTTTCAGATATCACCTAGTAGCAAAGCCTTCCCTCAAAGCCCCCAAAACTTTGATTTGGAATCATTTGCAACTACACAGTATTCTATAAAAGTAATTTCATGCTCAGCATATGGCACTGCAATATTTCTATTTTCTTCCTCCAAGACTGTGACCATCCTAGGTCATCCCTTTTTGTTTATTCAGTATCTTTCATCACACTTGACCTGCAATAAGTGCTTAAAACTGCATGAAAAAGATAAATAATCATGGACATAAATAATGAAAATCTAGTGAAATGAAAATCTAGTGAAATGAAAATTTATCATTCTAACCAATTGCCAATCTAGTGTTTTATCCATAACCAGTATCATTTTTTGTTTCTCAACCATGTAAGAAATAGGATTATATAAAATGTAAACATTTCTACAAAATTTGGTTAAATAAAAAGATATGAAATATTAAAGTGTTTTTTACAAGTAAAAGTTTTGTATATGGTTGACTCTTACATGTCAACATGATATAATTGACATCTAATATGTTACTTATATTGTGAATTACTTTGTATTTCAATTATAAACTACTCAGAATACTTTGATTTCCTGGCTAATATTTTCTCTGCTTTAATCTGTCATAATTTCTTTATGATAATTCCAAGAGAGCTTCCTTTTCTAATATTTATGTGATTTTGGACTGTGTGATAAAGAGTTTAAAATAATCAAAACATTTTTGTGTCCTTCTTTATGCTTTCTGTAATATAAAATATAAAAATGAGAAAAGAAATATATGATAGAAGCCATATTGTTTAACAGCTAAAAAGAGAAGTTAGCATTTTATTTCATTTCATTTCACTATCGATAAAGCCTATCTAATGAAAACCGTCAGAAGCAATCTACAGTCCAAAATATTAGGTTTATTTTACTCAGCATAATGTCATCCAGGTTCCTCCATGTTATGGCAAATGACATAATCTCTTCCTTTTTTAAGACTAAATAACCTTCCATTTTGTCTATATACCTTAGTCTCTTTATCCATTAATCCATTGATGGACACCTAGGTTATAATCAGTATTTTGGCTATTGTGAATAATGCTGCAAGGAACATGAGAGTCATGTTGTATATCTTAAATATAGGCAACAAAATTTATTTAAAAACAAAAAATTAAGTTTATTTACTTGTTGCAACAAGGGAGAACATTGTCTATGGGAGCTATAGGACATCTGATGTAGTAAAAAAGGGTTTTTGTATAGGTTGGTCTGGCAGTAAATATTTCTGAGGAGTCCAGATGTTTTGCAGAAATAAGGTCTGGATTTGTTGCTTTTGTGAGGCAATGAAAGGTTCATACTGAGTACCTTAGTATTCTTGATAGAGATATATCAAGCAAGGTCAGGGACATTGTTGACAAGAAAGCAGTAGTTACTTGAAAAAAGAGGAAAGCAGTAGTTACTTGAAAAAAGAGGATAATTTTAGTCCTCGCTACTTGGGAGGCTAAGACAGGAGGATCATTTGAGCCTAGGGGTTTGAGGCTGCAGTGAGCTATGATTGTGCCACTGCACTCCAGGGTTGGTGACAGAGCTAGACCCTGTCTGTGAAAAAGAAAAAAATTTAAAAAATTTAAAGATTTTTAAAAAGTGGATAATTATGACACTTTAATGTTACAACATCAACTTGAGAGAAACATTGTTTCTTGTTAACTTTGCAGAAAGATTTGAGAGTGTTTGTTATCACAGCCTGATTAATGGCAAGGCCATATTTTTGTATAATTTTTATTAGTTCAATATTACCCATTTGCTTAATTTCCTCAATCAGTGGACCTCAAATACACTGACAAATTCATTTTTAAATTCTCAGGGCTTTATTTGAGATACAGTAGAAGCTCAAGGAATAAATGAAGATCATAGGCAATGTATATTTTACCACTAAATCATAACCAGAAGAAAATGATAGCTATTGAATTATTTAGCTAAAGGGAATAAGCCTAATCCACAATTTTCTATTTTGTATGTGAAATTTTATGGACTTATTTTTTTTAGCTAGATCTTTCTTATAATGACATGAAAACTTAGTTAAATAAAACCAGTTTAAAGCATTTGCTTATAAACTGGTACTATTATTTCCTTTTATTCTTAGCATCCATCCTTCCTTAGATTATAAAATTTAACTGTTAAAACTCTCTCAAGTGTGTTAGATAATGATTCACTCTTTAACCTTTCGTCTTATAGGATCAACTTTCAGACACATGCTCGAACATAATCGATTTATAGTAGTGAATCTAGTAGAGAATCAACAGGGAAATTTAGCACTGGATTTATTTTCTGAAGTTGCTTGCTCTGAGAAATAGGTGAGAGACCTTTGTAAATTAAGAGATACAATAATACACTCTTTTTAACTATTTGTTTTGACATTCTTGAATTTTTCTCCCACTAATTGGAACAATTGAATTTCTTGATCAAGAATAGATATGAAAATCAAGAAAGAAAAACTTGTGAAGTTTAACAGAAATGAGTTCAGAGACCATCTCTTCTAGTAAGCAAGAAAACACTACAAATATATGCAAAGATAAATACCAGAAACCTATTAAAACTGTTGTCTTTTATTGTATTCATTAATAACACAATAGTTAATTGTGGTTTTTAAGGAGGTTACGGGTGTCTAAAATTTTGAGAGACTATTAAAGCAATTATTAAATTTAAAAGGTGATTATTTTATCTAATGTTAATTATTAGAAATATTTTGGTATGTTTGTTATATTCTTAACATATAAAGTGAGATTTACTGGAATCTTTATATTGTTGACTGAGGCATTCTATTAGCTATGTGTAATGTTGGAAAACAAAAATTATTTTAAGCGTCATTTGCTAAATAAATTGGAATACGGTGCACATAAATTGTTTAAATTTAGACTTAAGAAAATAGCAGATCATAGCTGAAACTTCAATACCAAAAATACTTTGCTAATACACCCCCTCATAAAACCAAGGACAAGAATTCAGCTACAACTAAAGACTCTGCATAAAGTCTTGGCCCTCTGTAAACATCCAGAAACAAAGTCAACTGACTATACACAAATAACACCACATTTAAAGGCACACCAGCCCACACAGATGAGAAAGACCCATCACAAGATCTCTGGGAACACAAAGAGAGTGTCTGCTTTCCTTCAAATAACCACATTAGTCCCCCAGCAAGGTTCTTAAACAGGCTGAAATAGCTAAAATGACAGACACAGAATTCAAAATATGGACAAGGATGAGTATCATCGAGATTCAGGAGAAAGTCAAAACACAATCCAAGAAATGTAAGGATTACAATGAAACAGTACAGGAATTGAAAGAAAAAACAGTCATTATAAGAAAGAACCAAACTGATCTGATAGAGCTTAAAACACACTTCAAGAATTACAGAACGCAACCACAAGTAATAACAGAGTATTAACAGCAGAAAAGACCAAGCTAAGGAAATAATCTCAGATCTAAAAGACTTTTTATCCAAACTAACTCAGACAAAAATAAAGAAAGAATAATAAAAAATAAACAAAACCTCCGAGAAATGTGAGGTTAGGCAAAGAGACCAAATCTATGACTCATTGACATCCCTGAAAGGGAGGGAGAGAATACAACAAACTTGGAAAACGTATTTGAGGATATCATCTATGAAAATTTCCCCAACCTTACTAGAGAGGCCAACATTCAAATTCAGAAAATGCAGCATACCCCTGTGAGATACTATACAAGACAACCATCCCTAAAACACATCATCATGAGGTTCTCTAAGGTTGACATGAAAGAAAAAATATTCACGTCAGCTAGAGAGAATGGACAGGTCACCTGCAAAGAGAAGCCCAACAGCAGAACTTTCAACAGAAACTGTACAACCCAGAAGAGATTGGAGCCTATATTCAGCATTCTTAAAGAAAAGAAACTCCAACCAAGAATTTTGTATCCAGCCAAAATAAGCATTGTAAGTGAAAAGTAGAAATAAGATACTTTTCAGACAAGCAAAGGCTAAGATAATTTATTACCACCACACCTGCCTTATAAGAGGTACTCAAGGGAGTGCTAAATATGAAAATAAAAGACCATTACCCACTACCACAAAAACATACCTTAAGTATATAAACCATGGACACTATAAAGCAACCATGCAATCAAGGCTCCATAAGAAGCACCTAACAACATGATGACAGGATCGAATCTGCACATATCAATATTGACCTTGAATGTAAGTGGCCTAAATGCCCCAGTTAAGAGGCATACAGTGAGAATTTGGATAAAGAAGTGAGACCCTACTGTATGCTCTCTTCAAAAGCCCATCTTACTAACAATGACACCCATAGGCTCAAAGTAAAGGGATGGAGAAAAACTACCACGGAAATGGAAAACAGAAAAAAGTAGGGGTTGCTATTCTAATTTCAGACAAAGCAGACATTAAGACAACAATAAAAATGACAAAGGCATTACATTTTGGTAAAGGGTTCAATTCAACAAGAAGTATATATGTATCATAAGTATGTATCATACAACTATCTATGTATATATGTATATATATAGTTTTATATATATAGATATATAACATACAACTATCATAAGTATATATGTAATTAATAAAGAAGAACCCAGATTCATAAAGCAAGTTCTTAGGTACCTATGAAGAGACTTAGATAACCACACAATAATAGTAGGAGACTTCAAGATCCTACTGACAGTATTAGGCAAATCATCGAGGCAGAAAACTTACAAAGATATTCTGGACATGAACTCCACACTTGACCAAATGGGCCTAATAGATATCTACAGAACTGTGTACCCCCAAACCACAGAATATACATTTTTTCATCTGCACATGACACATACTCTAAAATCAACCACACAGGCTGGGTGCAGTGGCTCATGCCTGTAATCCCAGCTCTTTGGGAGGCTGAGGCAGGTGGATCACAAGGTCAGGAGTTCGAGACCAGCTTGGACAACATGGTGAAACCCCGTCTCTACTGAAAATACAAAAATTAGCTGGACGTAGTGGCACATGACTGTAATCCCAGCTACTCAGGAGGCTGAGGAAGGAGAATCGCTTGAACTTGGGAAGTAGAGGTTGCAGTGAGCCGAGATCGCGCCATTGCACTCCAGCCAGGGTGACAGAGCAAGACTGTCTTAAAATAAAATGAAATAAAATAAATTAAACTACACAATAGACATTAAAAATCCTCATCAAATTCAAAATAATGAATCGTACCAAACACACTCTCAGACAACAGTGCAATAAAAATAGACGTAAATACTAAGAAAATTGCTCAAAACTATACAATTACGTGGAAATTAACCTGCTCCTGAATGACTTTTGGGTAAACAATGAAATTAAGGCACAAATTAAGACATTATTTGACACTAATAAGAATGAAGTTACAACTTAACATAATCTCTGGCAGACAGCTAAAGCAGTGCTAAGAGGTAAGTTTATAGTGCTAAACCTCCACATCAAAAAATTAGAAAGACCTCAAATAAATAGCATAACAGCACACCTAGAAGAACTAGAGAAACAAGAGCAAACCAACCCCAAAGCTAGGAGAAGACAAGAAATACTAAAAATCAGAGCTGAATTGATGGAAACTGAGATGTGAAAAACCATATAAAAGATCAATGAAGTCAGCAGTTTGTGTTTTGAAATAATGAATATGATTGATAGACCACTAAGTAGTCAAATAAAGAAAAAAGACAGAAGTTCCAAATAAACACAATGAGAAATGACAAAGAGGACATTGCCACTAACCTCACAGAAAAACAAAAATGCCCTCAGAGACTGTGAACCCCTCTATGCACACAAACTAGAAAATATAGATGAAATTCCTGGAAACATACAACCTCCCAAGATTGAACCAAGAAGAAACGGAATCCCTCAATATACCAATAACAAGTCCTGAAATTGAATCAGTAATAAAAATGTTACCAACCAGAAAAAGCCTAGGACCAGATGGATTCACAGCCAAATTTTATGAGATGTATGAAGAAGAGCTGGTACCATTCCTACTGAAAATATTCAAAAAAAAAAAAAAAAAAAAAAAAGAAGAAGGAAGAAGGACTTCTCTCTAGTTCATTCTATGAGGCCAGCATCAACCTGAAACCAAAACTCAAACTCACCAGAGGCACAATAAAAAAAGAAAACTTAGATCAATATCCTTGGTCATGGATGCAAAAATCCTAAATAAAACACTAACAATTTGAATCCAGCAGCTCATGAAAAAGCTGAAACACCATGACCAAGTAGGCTTTATCACTGGGATGCAGGGACATTTCAACATAGGCAAATCAATAAGTGTGATTTATCACATAAGCAGAAGTAAAAAGAGAAACCACATGATCATCTCTATAGACACAGAAAAAACTTGATATAATTCAACATCCTTTCATGTTTACAACCTTCAACAAACTAGTTATTGAAAGAACATACCTCAATATAATAAGAACCATTTATGACAAACCCATAGCCAACATCATACTGAACAGACAAAACTTGGAAGCATTCTCCTTGTTAACCAGAACAAGACAAGGAAGTCCTCTCTTACCACTCCCATTCAGCATAGGACTGGAAGTCCTTAGCCAGGACAATAACTCAAGAGAAAGAATAAAAGGCATCCAAATAGGAAGAGACAAAGTCAAACTATCTGTTTGCAGAAGATATGATTATATACCCAGAAAATCCAATAGTTTCTGCCCCAAAATGCCTAGATTTGTTAAACAGCTTCCCCAGTTTCAGGATACACAATCAATGTACAAAAATTATTATTACTTCTATACATAAACAATGTCCAAGCTGAGAGCCAAGTCAAAAACAAAATCCTATTCACAATATCCACAAAAATAAGAAATCAGAAATAACACAAAAAAATTAAAAAAAAAATTTGATGCTCATGGATAGGAAAAATCAATATTTTTAAAATGGCCATACTGTCCAAAGCAATTTATAGATTCAATGCTATTTCTATCAAACTACCAATAACATTCTTCACAGAATTAGCAAAAAGAAACCTATTTTAAAATTTATGTGGAACCAAAAAAAAGAGCCCAGATAGCCAATGCAATTCTCAGCAAAAAGAACAAAGCTGGAGGGATCACATTACCTGACTTCAAACTATACTACAATGCTACAGTAACCAAAACAGCATGACACTGTCAAAAAAAAAACAGACACATAGGCCAATGGCACAGAATAGAGAGCCCATAAATAAAGCCACACACAACAATCTGATCTTTGATAAAGTTGACAAAAACAAGCAATGTGGAAAGGACCCTTTATTCAATAAATGGTGCAGGGATAACTGGTTAGTCATATGCAGAAGATTGAAACTGGACCCCTTCCTTAAAACATATACATGTACATATACATATACATATACATGTATATATACACATACACATACATATCTCACAGCAATCAGAATGGCTATTACTAAAGTCAAAAAATAACATATGTTGGTGAGGTTGTGGAGAAAAGGGAATGCTTATACGCTGCTGATGGGAATGTACATTAGTGTAGCAATTGTGGAAAGCAGTTTGGTGATTTCTCAAAGAACTTAAAACAGTAGTACCATTCAACCCAGCAGTACCATAATTGGGTATATACTCAAAGGATTATAAATTGTTCTAAGGTAAAGACACATGCACATACCTGTTCACTGAAGCACTATTCACAATAGCAAAGACACGGAATCGACCTAAAGACCCATCAGTAGTAGACTGAGTAAAGAGGATGTGGTACATTTAAACCATGGAATACTAAACAGCCATGAAAAAGAATCAGATCACATCCTTTGCAGCAATGTATGGAACTGGAGGCCATTATTCTAAGCTAGCTAACACAAGAAGAAATAAATAAATACAACATGTTCTGCCTTATAAGTTGGAGCTAAACATTGAGAACATGTGGACACAAATAAGAAAAAAACAGACACTGGGGCCTACTTCAGGGTTAAGAGTGACAGGAGGGAGATTATCAAAAAAACTACCTGTTGGGTACTACACTTATTACCTAGGTGACAAAATAATCTCTACACAAAACCTCTGTGACACACAATTTATGTATATAACTTACACACACATACTCCTGAACCTAAAATAAAATTTTAAAAAAGAAAATACCACATGATGCTGAAGACAAAAGTTTTTACAGTAGTTTATAGGATGAGCATCATCCTTTCATATTTTCTTTCTTCATTTCAGAGATTTATTGAATTTATACAAATAATATTTGATAGAGCCTTGACCATTAGAGTACTCTATATTTCAGGAAAAAAGACTTCCACAAGGTAACTTCACCTTAATATAGAATCATGTTATTCAAGACAGATATTGTTTAAGTAGCAATGTTTTAGAAATAAATCAGCACTGGCAAAAGAGGCAAAGCTCCATTTTGAGGCAGTCTAGACAAAGGGTCTGGTTTCCATTTCAATGAATTTAAATTGAATGTAGAATAAAAATGGAACTAGCCTATGCTGTTGGCCCCTGTTTAAAGCTTAACTCTAGAGAAAAGACGAAAAAGGAGAAAAAAGCAGCATTCTGAAAAATTAACATCAAATGTTGAGAAACCCTTCCGGCAATAAGTCAGTAGTGATAAGGGAGAATTTGCAGTCTAAATCAAGAGGCTCTGCATAAGGGGCTATGTTGGGTGCAGCTTTTGAGCATTTCTTTTGTTCCTCCCACATTAACTTTGGCATATTGTTGTTTGACCCTGCCAGTACATAACAAAAAACAGTTGCTGCAGCTGAGGCCACCCAGGTTTTGTTAGGGTAACAACAAGACAGCACCAAAGCTTGGCCAGGGCGGGAATCTGGTTCAGGTAGACCAGCTAAACTTGAAAGTTTCTACTTTCTTCTTCTCTCCATTCTCTACTCTCAAAGATGTGAATTAAAATCAAGATTATAACCTTGAACTGGTATACTTTTTCTTTCTTTTTTTTTTTTTTTTGAGACAGAGTCTCACTGTGTCGCCCAGGCTGGAGTGCAGTTGCAAGATCCCGGCTCAGTGCAACCTCTGCCTCCCAGGTTCAAGAGATTCTACTGCCTCAGCCTCCCTAGTAGCTGGGACTATAGGCATCTGCCACCGCACTGGGCTAATTTTTGTATTTTTAGTAGAGACAGAGTTTCACCATGTTGGCCAGGCTGGTCTCGAACTCCTGACCTCAGGTGATCTGCCCACCTCGGACTCCAAAGTGCTGGGATTACAAGTGTGAACCACCACACCTGGCCATAAACTGGTGTATGTTTTGAAGTTTAAGGAAGTATTCTGAGGGATGGAGTTGCAAAGTTCTCTGAGGGATGGAGCTAGAAGATATGGTGGTAGGAATTTGAGTACTTCAGTATCTAGAGTACGCTTTCCTCAGGCAAAACCCTCAACTTTTCTCAAAGATACGGTACAAATCAGAGTCTGGGTTTCAGTATCTTCTCCTGATAAGCATACCCAGCTTCACCTTTGGGAACACTTGGAAGTAAGAATAGCTTATGGATAAAAAAATATTACACACATGTTTTATATCATTGCTATGGAAGTATGACAATGAACAAATATGGGTTTCATAAAAGTAAATAGAAGGAGTTAAGAATTTAAAATAGGAATAATAAGTAGTGTGCTCAAAAAGAAGAGAAGAAATTAGTAATTTGAGAGAATATTAGTATATGAAGCTAGATCAAGGAGCCACAATAATTAGTATGAAAAATATCATAATGAACATTTTAAAATAGATGGGGTTACTTCTGGTTTCACTTCCAAAATGTAAAGCTCGAAGTCTTTACTTACCTACTCACAAGAATAGCTGGAAAAAGTGAAAATCAATGACTTATCTTGTATCCCAAATAGCTAACATCATAAGGCAGCCTGCAACCCTGAAATTTGGAGAGGCAGATGAGTCCAAAGAGGCACAGCCAAGACCTGCTTACCTGGAGCAGAAACTGCTAGAGCCAGAAGCTAATATAAATACTTAAATGCTAACTTTGATGAATGCAATAGACTGATGAGGACTAGTGTGAGAATAAAAAACTTCTGAGCTGCAATCTTGGGGGAAGCCCATACTTTTCTGGACTGTTTTCTCAGAAAGCCACTAGTTCTCACAGTTAAGATCTCGAATCTCTCACTGTGGCTCTAGCAGAGAGAGAGAGTTATCACTCTGAAATGATCCTAGATCCTTCTCCATAACAAAAGCCTACTTTCCAGAGGAAAAGAATTAGCCAGAACTTTATCCTGAGAAAATGGAATTCCTCTGACTTAAGTCCCCTCCAGAGCCTTCCTATCCACAATCAGGGGAAATCACAGTCAACAGGAGTGAAGATTTCAAGTAAATTGATTAGACCCCTACACTAGGAAAGAAAATAGGAGACTCTGGGAGGGAAAAAAAAAGTTATACCATTTGAGGAACACTTGTAAAGCTCACAGCCCAAGGTATAGGTGCACTAAAAGACTGAGTTTAATGAGAAGATTATAGAATGTTCCTTCTCTCCCATATAACATAACACTATACCAAGAGTACTCTAATATAATAATAGTAGATTAAGGCTGCAAGAAATGCAAGACCAAGAATATATATATATATTTAATGTACCTTGTTCTACAGCAAAGTAAAGCAATAAAGGCTCTGAGGAGTAATCTGGCCACATTTTAAGAAAATATTTAAATGTGATTTCTCCACTAAAATTAACCCATCCTAAAGTTATTTGCAAGTGGAAGAGGTGGTTTATGGTTAGTTTAAATCATTTCTCCACTAAAAGAAATTCCCAG
Organism: Homo sapiens; assembly: GCF_000001405.40. Lineage (NCBI taxonomy): Eukaryota > Metazoa > Chordata > Mammalia > Primates > Hominidae > Homo > Homo sapiens. The sequence continues at coordinate 187,717,704 of NC_000002.12, read as the reverse complement.
AGGCATCCAGAATCTCTCTTTTCTCTTGTAGTTATTTTTATTGTCTGTCTAGACTTTTAAAACAGGCTTCTAGGTGTGACTAATAGGCCATACTGAAATACTTCGCATAACATTACACTTTCAGATATTCTCTTACACCTTGCCTTAAATTTAGCTATACTCATTTTCTCTTGGACAAGCTTTCCCAAGGTGGCTGTTCAATTACAGTTGAAGCTAATGAGTCTAATTCAGCTACCTCTACTCAGATTAAATTGCCTTGCGATTCAGTGTCAGCACCTTTTTTTAAACAATCTCTTTGAATGTTCTGTTAAAGTCAAGTCTGAAAATAAGATAGTTTGCAAACAATGGAATTTCATTTCCAGATGTAGAGCATCTAACTTTTATTTGGTAATCAAGAGAAAGGAATGCATTAGAGAAGGAAAATCAACCATATTCTTACTTCAACTTAAAAAAGAAGTTAGCCTAAAGTGGAAAAGGACTTTTCATTAAATTAAAGTTCATTAGAAACAATGATTTTTATTCAAGTTTTAAGATGTTCTAAATTCTTTTAACCCCCTGTATTGCAAAATTTTTATTAGACAACAATTATTTCATGCAAATATTAAAATAGTATTTCAATACATATTGTAATATCTGTTTTATTCCTGGTGATATGAGCATTTTTTTCAAATGTTCTTATTGTATATAAAATAACATAATGTACTTTATGTGTACATGAGTGCTGTTTATTGCCTATAAAACATTCATCTTGAATTTCCACATCTGTTATTTATTTGCTGAAAACACAATGTGAATTTTTAAATTGCACTCATAGTATGCAAATAAAATGAAATAGCAGGCAAAAAGTCCCTGGCATTCACCATAAATATATATAAACTGATATAAACAAGCCGACTAATTTTGTGACAAAATTTTCTACAGTGTTGCGTGGTATAGTGCTTTAAAATGCCACATTCCATTAAATATAGAAGCTTTCATGAGATGGATATGGATTTAGCATAGGAACACTATTCTATCTTTAAATGAGTAAAATTATTTATTGCTTGTGTTTATGGACAAAAGAAAACTTGCTCAAGAAGTAAGCCCATGAAGGACTCGCAGTTTACGAGACTATAACTTTGCTACTTCCATTTGTTTTTACAAGGTAGTAACATGTTAGATTTGACTGTCCTGACATTATGGCTAGCATTTCCTGGTCATTGTTTGAAAAAATGTGTTGAGCATCTTTTGCACAATAGCCCATAAAACCCTCATAACCACCCTCTGAGAAGGTAGTACCATTACAACATTTTATCCATGCAGAATCTGAGGCTCAAAAAAGATAAGACACCTGCTAAATACCTGGGATTTGAAATCAGTCAGGACTGGGTTTAGTTAATCTTCCTGTTTTAAAGCCGTTAAAGCTTTAATTGAATCACATAACAAACACAATTTAAGGTGGCTTGTAAAAACCCTGGCTCTGTCTTTCGGACTCACAATCTAAGGTATACGCACAATCCACAGCTGTAGTTGAAATATTTACAAAGTGCAAAAAATTGTAAGGTAGCTCCTGACTCTGCCTCAGTTTCAGTAATAGTCTTGGAGAGGGGCCTGTAGCAAGCGACAGTATTCACAACTTGTCTAACAAAGGTGACTGATCCTCAAATCCACTAATAGTTAAATTACAGAAGAGCCATTCTTCCTATGTTATGTGAAAATGTCAAAAGTATAGGTTTTTAAAAAATAGAGTCACTTTTTTTTGAATTGATAAAAGAAATTAGAATTTTAGAAAGCCTTTCAAATGAATTAAAAAAAAATTGATGGGTTGGGCTTGGTTTATAGGCTCCCAGTTTGCAGCCTATATGCAAATATGGACTCATCTATTCCCTCTGTTCTGAGATTTTTCTCAGTCATCTGGTTTCACTGAATAACAGTGATGCAGAACAGATGAGTCTACAAATTAGGGCTTAGCCTAGGAGGGTTCTTGGCTTCACCCAAGAAAGAACTCAAGGATGAGCCAGTGGTGTTAGACAGAAATATTTTTACTAAACAGTACTGCTCCTTGCAAAGCTATGTAAATTGAGGGGCAAGTTATTTAAAACTTTCTAAGAAAGGGGTGGCAATTGTAAACTGCCATGACACTGGTGGGAATGCCTTATACTAATGAGCAATGAGGGAAACTAGGGATCACTTTTATGGCCATCTGCTGGTTCTTGCCAGTTTCTTCACTTTAACCTGTCTAGACCAGATCCTGTTTTGGTCAGCAGGGTTGTGACCAGAAAATAAATCCTTTCAGTCTCCGAATCTCAGCAATACTATCTTTACCCTCACCTAGGATTAAAACCAGTAACTGGAATTATTTTTTGATCTTCTATAGCCAATGCCTTGTCAGGCCCTGTTATCCTCATTTCCATTTTCACTGAATTTGCTCTGGTCACATCTTCATCACCACCCTACCTCAGTTTTTCTTATGCTAGTCCACTCTTGCTCAGGATTTTCCTAAAACATTTTTTTTCCTGTAAAACTGCTGCTTAGAAACTTGTGATATGTTTCTACCCCCTAACAGAAGTAAATTAAAGGCCTTCCATGACCTGACCCAATCTATCTTTTATCTTTCTGGTTCCCAGTGCCCTAGGTTAACCTCCATATAAGTCAGGGTTCTCCAGAGAAACAGAATCAACAAGATATAGATATAAGTATAGATATATAGATGTAATAAATACATATTTATTATAAAGAATTGGCTCATATGATTATAGAGCCTGAGAAATTTTAAGACCTGCAGTAGGCAAGCTGGAGACCAAGGAAAGCCAATGGTGTAGTTCCAGCATGAGTCCAAAGGTCTGAGAACAAAAAGAGCTGATGGTGTCTGTTCCAGTCCAGAGGTCAGCAGTCTTGAAACCTAAGAAAAGCTGATTTTTTTTTTTTTAGTTCAGATTTGAAGGGAGGAAAAGACCAATGTTCTATCTCAAGGCAGTCAGGTAGGAGGAGTTCTCTCTTACTTAGTTATTTTGGTTGATAAAAGTCGTTAATTTATTGGATGTGATCCATCCACATTGGAGAGGGCAATCTATTTTACTCAGTCTACAGATTCAAATGTAAACTTCTGCTAGAAACACCCCATATAGACACATCTAGAATAATATTTGGCCAAAGTTGGGCACCCGTGGTCCAATCAAGTTGACACATAAAATTAAGCATCATATATTTCTTCCCTAAAAGTTCTAATATATTATGAAATTTACTTACATAATGTATGTTTGGATTATCCACTTTACCAGAACATGAGTTCCACAAAAACAGGGCTTTTGGTCTTCTTTGATCATTCTTTTATACCCAACATTTAGAAAAGTTCTCCACACAAAGTATATTGCTCCACAAATTGCTGCTGGATAAATATTGTTATATCAATATTTTGTATTAACATTATGACTTCTTATACTGTAAAGCTACACCTTCCCAAATGTTGGTTTTGGACACACGTATTGCTCTTAAATGACTGGGAAGTGTGATTATGGTGGAAACAGAAGAAAGAAGACTTGCTTTGTTTTGTAGTCTAGGAGGGTTTCATAAAGAAGATGAGACAAGTTGTGCCCTGAAGGATTAGTTGGAATTGTGGTGACTTCAGAAGAAGATGGAATACGTTACAGGAAAAAGAAACGACTTAAAAAAATGGGAAGAGGGAAAAAGTGCAAACATATAAAAAGAGGAAGAGAGTTGATCAAATTGGAACCAATTAGAATTTTTATAAAAGGTTTGGGAAGGAAGGAAAGCAGTAACAGTTTTGTCTTAATGATGTTTGAGGAGAAAATGTCTGAAGTTATGGTTTTAGAGTTGAAGTTGTATTTTAAAGTCATAAATGCTGTGTCCAGGGTTTTTACATTATCTTGTGATGAAAGGGAAGTCATCAAAAGTCCTCAAAGAAGATAACAGCATGACATATGTAAAATGTAAGAAAATTAATCTCACCATGTTAGATAGCTCATAATGATAAAGAGATTATGCAAAGAAAATAAATAGATGACTGATATTTTATTCACTGTAATTTTAGTTCTTCCACTAAGAAAAAGCAAAATCAATTATTTTTCAAATAAAAGGGCATTTGTTACCAAAGAAATATATTTATTTTTGAGGAGATCAACATACTGGAGACTAACAAAGTTTGGGAGTCTCGGGAAGCACCACCTCCCATATGTCTTCATGTCACTCTTGTTTAACTGTTCAGGGCCCAGAACAGGATCTCTAGACTGAAGCTGAGAATAGGCACTGAGAAGCTCTTTGTTAAATGACATACAGATTTATACTTTCTGACAACTACGATGCTATTTTTTTCTTAGATCATTATTGAAGATCCCTGCAAATAAAATATAAGTCAAAAAGTGGAAGTAATCCATCCTTAAAGTGGATGGATCAGACCTGTGAAATCAGTTTTTCTTCTAGAAAATAAATAATGAGCAGTGAATTAGTACTGGCTGTACTTTAAGCTGCAGCGATGTCTGCTGTTCCAGTACAAATAGTATTACTTTGTTATTAAAATCAAAGCCATTTCCTTGGTTCTAAAGACAACTTCTCCATCAGCACACTCCATTACTCTGAAAAGTACTGGGTGAACAATGCATTTATAATCGTTTAAAATAGCAGTGTTAAGCTTGTGTGATTGTGTGTATGTGTGCGTGTGCTAAACATACTACTTCAACAAAAAAGGGATTAGGATTAAAAGCAGGGTGAAATCAGAGAAAATGGGAAGGAAGAGAAAACTCAAAAGTTGTATTATGAAAACAAACTTTGAGTGTGATTTTGTCAAAACAAGTTGATTGACAACTCTTTCCATTCTATCCAAATACAGAATGAGAAGACTTCTCTCAAAAGAAAGTCTAGAATTCTATGGTTGTGAAAAGTTGTGACTGGAAAGCTTGGCAAATAAGTCTGCTGCGGTAAGTATAATTAAAAATGCAAAGCCAGTCACCTTTATGTATTGGCTTAGAATTCAAGTAAAAACTGGAATTTCAATATACTTTATACGATAAGAGGTGATATTTTTTCTTTCTGAAAAATAATTTTAATGTATCTTCAATTTGTCAATGTCTTACTTGAACTGCACTAAAGGGACCATAATTATAAGTCATATATTAAAGGAAACACAAGATTTAGCATAAAGATGAAATATAATTTTGTAAATTAAGCAATTTTTGTTCCATGATGCTTTCACTTTGTCTTATGTTGTAGAAACCATTATTATATTAAAACTTTTGATTCACAATCATGAAATCTAACTGAAAAGTATTTCTCATATCCAAATGCAAAATGTATACCTAAGATAACTGACTAATTTGAAGCTTGATGTTCTCAATTTTCAAGGCGATTTGTTGAAAATATACTCTGTTATTTGATTAAATAATAGTTTCAGTATTAGCTGCTCTCATTTTTTAAAACTAAATAATGTAGTTTGTAGCAATAAAAAACATGTTTTCTTTTATCTTTTTTTAGAGACAAAGTCTTGCTCACCCAGGCTGGAGTGCAGTGGCATGATCATAGTTCACTGCAGCCTTGATCTCCTGGGCTCAAGTGATTCTCCCATCTCAGCCTCCCGGTAGTTAGGACTATAGGCATAAACCACCATGCCCAGCTAAGTAAAAACAAACAAACAAAAAAACAAAACAACAACAACAACAACAACAAAAACCTTTTTGTAGAGATTGGTCTCAATATATTGCCCAGGCTAGTCTCCAAAGATCCTCAAGCAATATTGCCACCTTGGCCTTCTGAAGTGCTGGAATTACAGGCATGAACCACCTTACCCAGCCACAATGAAACATTAGTTGCAAAGGTATGTTATAATGTTGAATAAATAATTCACCATTAGTACAAAATAGTATGATACTCAGGTTATGTTCAAAAAATGTCCTAGCATGTGAACAGTTGTAATAAATTACTGATTTCTTGAACTGCAAGGACTATAATATCTTCTTAGAAATGTATTCTGGGTTAAAAAATAATAATCTGCATAATATCTGAAACCTATAGTATCTTTGGCAAAGAGAGAGGCAACTGATTTTTTTTTATTTGATGATGGTTTTATTTTCAAAGCTATAATTAAATGAGATAAAAATATACAGTTGAAGTGCCAAAGCAACTTAAACATAAATAACAGCTGCTCCTCATCTGAGAATTTCATTTATATATACAACTTTTGTTATGCCCTTAAAGATTTTTAACCAGTATACAGCTAATTCAGCATCCATTATCCCAAGATATGCTTTATACTCAAAGAGGATAGAAAAGAGAAGAGAAGCATTTCCTGGCATCCATGCTCTACAGATAAATTTTGCTTTAAAAGCAAATAGGAGACTCTTCACTATGTACAAAGTTTCAGGTTTTTGAACCAATAAAGTAGGATTGATGACTCATTAAAAAAATCCCAGTCATGGCTGGATTCATTGCTCCTAAGAAACTGGACATGATTTGCATTATAGCTATTTTAGGGAAATCAAAGCTATGAGAAGTAACAGGTTTGTTTAATCACTAGTGCAACTGATATTTTTTTTGTGATACTAGTCAAAAGCAGTGGCATTGGTGAAGGAGGAAAAGAGGGTAGTAGTGGAATTCCCCCACTGTTTGTGGAAAGGCAGCCAGAGCTGAGAGGGCTTTAGGGATGTTGAAAAGACACTGCAGATGACAAAGTGGCTGCTAGTGGGTGAAAAAACAACTTCAGCTAAGAGATAGTGTACTAAGTGTTCTTTTTATCTTTATTATCTGGTGTCTCCTAAAATAACTCCCCATTAACTGAAATAATCTCATCATGCATGTTTCTTGAAAATTTAAACTGAGTAACCCACACAAACATGATGATCCCCAGTATATGTATTCTGTTTTATAAGTTTGCCTGCCAAAATCATAATGTAAACAAGCTATGTGTGAACAGGAATTATTATAAGGATACTGAAAGGTACAATTTATTTAGAATAAAGTACAATTTATTTAGAATAAAGTACAATTTATTTAGAATATCTCAGTGTTTGGAGAGATGGAAAAGATGAGAAAATGGCAAGAAAGATCACTTCAAAACCCATTGATAAGTTTTAGAAATGAAATTACTGTTTGGTTTATGAAAAATAAAAGGTTTTAAGCTTTTTTAAAAGAAACATTCTACCAATAAACAAGCCATGAAAATCTTTCACACAATAAAAAACTCTATATAAACCTATTAAGTAATAATTTACTGCAAATGCTGTTACAAAAGTCATTGATTTCATAAGTTAAAATTGTTGAGTTTTTGAAAATACATAATTTTAATTGGATTTATAGCCCAAAATTATAAATTTTATTATTCAATTTACTTTCATAGCAAAGTACATATAGAAGTATTTTTCTATCTGCCTCTAATCTCTTTCTCTCACGCATGCATATTGTGATATAAAGTAGATTGGTTCACATTCAAACTTAATCTACCATGCCTATTAATTTATATTTATATTTTACTCAGGTATCAGCTTGGCCCTATACAAATAATGGGAAAAACCCTTAAGATTATTTCTGTCAGTTTGGATACATTATTTGCAAAGCACTTTTGAAACCCTGAAGTGAGGGTGAATGGGCCATGAGTGATAAACGATACTCACTTATTGGGTAAGAATTAAGGACAGCTCTATGGGCTAATTCTGTTATCTTCAATCTCTAAAGTTATCTTTAAAATAGAAAAGGGATGATTTCAATTATGCCTGAATATGTTAAAGAAGCACACTTCCTAATGGAAAAGAGAGAAAATTTCTCCTAAGTTAATATTATATCATGACAGGCTGCTCCATTAGACTATTTTGAACTGGGTTTCTATTGTCCATTACTTAAAACTATATTGGTAATTAACCTTGCTGTTTAATCTCAGTGAAGATGAGTGTAATCTTTTTTCTTGCAGATATCAGTAAGTACATCAACTTTGCTGTGGCTTTTAATATATGAGAGGAACAAATTTCAAAATTATCTTAATTGCCAATCGACTATAGAAAGGATTGTGATTATTAAGGAATTGACCCTTGGTGGAAATATAATTTCCTGAGATGCTTTAATAAGAGAGCTTAAGAAAAAATATTAGACCGGAATTTCTATGATTTCAAATTTTGATCTATGGGATTAAAACTTTATAACAAATCTCTTATTGCTTTCCCAAAGAGTCTGGCATAACATAGATGTTCAAATGTTTGTGAATTAAGTACAATAACATTGCATTTCCAGGGCTGCCTCCTTGGTTCATACTTTTACCACAACACAGTTTGACATTGAAATAACCTTCTAAATCGGGAGCCGGAAAACTTTTTTCTGTAAAGGGTTAGAGAGAAAATATTTTCAGGTTGCCATATGGTCTCTGTCTCAACTACTCAGCTGTGCTGTTCTAACTTAAAAACAGTACATAAACAATACATGTGTCTCAATAAAACTTTGTTTACAAAAACAGGTAGTAGATCAGATTGGGCCTATGGGTCATAATTTGTCAGTTCCTGTTCCAAATGACCTTCCTGTTGCAAGTCTTCCTATTTACATACTTTTAGTCTTGTAGTGAAGAAATATAAGCAAGTTGTATTGAGGCACCACATTGAACTTACTGAGATGCCCCTTGGGATATTTTAAATGTTCAAGGGAAACATGGTGATATTTGTTGATGGCTATTACTCTTCTGTGGCTATTACTTTTCTGTCTACTTAATAGAATCGTTAGGTAGTTTTTGGCCTAAGAGGGCTATAAAAAATTACTGAAACATGAAGGGAACCTTGAATTGAGTTTGGGAATCTCTGCTCTAATCTATCTCATATTTTCCTGATGGATACATTTTACTACAGTATCTTTGCTGTTCCAAACCCCTCAATAACTTCCTACTGATTATAGCACAACGAGAACATAAAAACAGAAATTGCCTAGTTTTACAGATCCCTGTCTTAATATAAAACCATAATTCAAGGAATAACTAAAAACATCAGTTAATCTAGGAAGTCCTAAAATAAGCCTTTTAATTTTTTTAGATACACATTCAGGAAAGGGAGAACACAAAATCAAAGGAAGAAATGAATAAAGAATAGTTGAAGGGATAGCACATAAATCAATCTGATTTATTAGAGAGCTTAAGAGGAAATTTGACAGAGGGATGGGAGAAGAAAGTGAAGCACATGGAAAGAAAAGCACATGGTAAGACACAGCAAGATATGTATAGGAAAGCCTTGTTATATTATTATACTAAAGTGTCAGTTACTGACAGTTGATGCTGAATTCGCAGGCATGAGCCATAGCATGAAGGGCATTTTATGCCATACAATAGGCTTAGAATATTGTTGTACAAGTAATGAAGATCAACTAAAGGGCTTTGGGAAGGCCAAATTTTGGTTTTGGGTTAATAATTAGTGCATCAGTGTGGAAGAAAAATTGGACAGATTGGAGATGGATTCAAAAAGAGAAATGCAAAATCAAAATGAAAATTAATGAAGCCATTATTCAACTGTCAAGGCAATGTTCTAAACACTTTACATGTATTCACATTAACTCCTCAGAGTAAACCTGTGAGATAGGTACTATGATTATTCTTTGTCTTTGATAGTCTAGGAAACTAAGAAACAGAGACGTGAAGGCTACGGAATAAGTAAATAGTATAGCTGGAAATCAAACCCAGTTGTCTAGCCACAGAACTCATGTTCCTAAGAACTATATTAATTGCCTCTCAATAATCTAAATAAGAGATGAAATAGGGCCCACTTATGACAACAGCAATAGTACAGAGAGACTGGAAAGCCAGAGACAGTAAACTCATAGGACTTAGGAATTAATCCCAAGTGAAGGAGAAGAATACGTCTGTGACATTGTTCAGATTTGAGGCTGTGATGATTGTATCAATAGTGAGGATATAAGAGGAGGAAGAATTTGGTTTGAGAAAAAATTAGTTCAAGTCCAAATATGTTAAATTAACATGCTGAAATATCCAGGCACAGATATTCAGTAAGAAGTTTTATATATAGTACAAAAATTCTGTCAAAGTCTAATTTGATAATATATATTTCTGAATTGCCAGAATTGCCAGAGTTGGTCTATTAGTTCGTTCTCACATTACTATAAAGAAATACCTGAGACTGGGTAGTTTATAAAGAAAATAGGTTTAATTGGTTCACAGTTCTGCAGGCTGTACAGGAAGCATGATTGCTGGTATCTGCTTATCTTCTGGAGAGTCCTCAGTTAACATACAATTATGGCAGAGGACAAGGGGGAGCACACATATCACAGGGCCAAAGTATGAGCAAAAGAGTTTGGGGGAGGTACCATACACTTTTCAACAGCATCTCATGAGAGCTCACTCACCATCATGACCAACAGTACCAAGGGGATGGTGTTGAACCATTCCTGAGAAATCACCCTCATGATCCAATCACCTCCCACCATGCTCCACCTCCAACATTGGGAATTACATATGAACATGAGATTTGGGTGGAGACACAGATACAAACCATATCAGATGGTAATATAAGCTATGTAATTTCTGTAGTCATGCAGATAGGGTGAATAATGTGAGCAAGCCAAGTAGAGAACCCTGGTGCACATTAGCATTTAGGGGACAGTTGAAGAAGTAAGAGCCTAGATGAAGAGTATTAGACAGTACTACTACAATCGTTATATCACTTCTTCTGTTTTCACACCCTTTTCTAGCAAGATTGAAAATGTCTGGCATACTTATACGCCTTTATCCATGGTTTCTTTCTGATAGAACAAAATGCTGTGTATAATGCACCTGGTTTTGCATTATAGCCACAATCATTAAAATTCTGTAAATAGTAGACTGTTTTTACTGTTGTATTATTGAATGAAGAATTGACTAGAGAAGGAGAAGCATTGGATCTTGGCTCAATTCTCAGAACTGTAAATGGGTCATCAAAGCTACTCTCTGAATCATAACCTGCATGTGGAAGAGTAGGACACCACTTCTTCCTAGGGCTTGTAATGTTTAGAATGTTTTCTTTTTATTATCTTTATTATCTGGTCTCTCCTTAAAATAACTCCCCATTAACTGAAATAATCTCATCATGTGTGTTTCTTGAAAATTTAAACTGACTAACCCACACAAACATGATGATCCCCAGTATATGTATGCTCTTTTATAAGTTTGCCTGCCAAAATAATAATGTAATAATAATAATGTAAACCAGCTACGCATGAACAGGAATTATTATAAGGATTCTTCACTTAAACAATAATTGTGAATTGTGCTGCTATAAACATACGTGTGCAAGTGTCTTTTTCCTGTAATGACTTCCTTTCCTTTGAGTGGGTACCCAGCAGTGGGACTGATGGGTCGATGGTAGATCAGACTTTTAGCTCTATAAGGAATTGCTGTACTGTTTCCATAGAAGTTGCACTAATTTATATTCCTATCAGTAGTGTGTAAATGTTACCTTTCTCCCATATCCACACCAGTGTCTACTGTTTCTTGACTTTTCTTTTTTTCTTTTTGAGGCAAGTTCTCACTCTCTCACCCAAAATAGAGTGCAGTGGCATGATCATGGCTCACTGCAGCCTCGACCTCCTGGACTCAAACGATCCTCTGGCCTCAGCCTCTGGAGTAGCTGGGACCACAGGTGCACACCACCACACCTGGCTGATTTTTTTTTTTTTTTGTATTTTTTGTAGAGATGGTGTTTTGCCATGTTGCCCAGGCTGATCTCAAACTCCTGAGCTCAAGTGATCAGCCCACCTTGGCCTCCCAAAGTGCTGAGATTACAGGCATGAGTCACTGTGGCCCGCCTGTTTTTGGATTTTGTAATAATGTCCATTCTTGCAGGAGTAAGGTGGTATCTCATTGTGCCTTTAATTTTCACTTTTCTGATGATTAGTGATGTTGAACATTTTTTCATATGTTTGTTGGCCATTTGTAAATCTTCTTTTGAGAAATGTTTATTTATATCCTTTGCAGACTTTTTAATGGGATTATTTGCTTTTCTCTTTTTTGTTGTTGTTGTTTTTTTTTTTTTAGTTCATTGTAGATTGTGGATACTAGTCCTTTGTCAGATGTATACTTTTCAAATATTTTCTCCCTTTTTTTTTGTTTTCTCTTGATCACTGCAATTGTTATGCAGAAGCTTTTTAGTTTAATTTGGTCCCATTCATTTATTTTTGTTTTTATTGCATTTGCTTTTGGGGTCTTTGTCATTAATTCTTTGCCTGGGCGGAAGTCTAGAAGAGTTTTTCTGACGTTTTCCATAACTTTTAGTTTCAGGTCTTATAGTTAAGGCTTTGATCCATCTCAAGTTAATTTTTGTATAAGATGAGAGACAGGGATCCAGTTTCATTCTACATGTGGCTTGCTAGTTTTCCCAGCACCATTTATTAAATAGGGTATCCATTCCCCAATTTATGTTTTTGTATGTCTTGTCAAAGATCAATTCACTGTACATATTTGGCTTTATTTCTGGGTTCTGTATCCTGTTCCACTGGTCTATTTTTATAGCAGTACCATACTGTTTTGGTAACTACAGCCTTATAGTGTCATTTGAAGTCTAGTTATATGGTGCCTCCAGATTTCTTCCTTTTGCTTAGGATTGCTTTGGACATTTGGGCTGTTTTTTGATTCCATATGAATTTTAGTATTTTTTTTCTAATTCTGTTAAAAATTATGTTGGTATTTTTCTGGGAATTGCATTGAATCTGTAGATTGCTTTGAGAGTTTGGTCATTTTCACAATATCAATTCTTCCAGTCCATGAGCATAGGATGTGTTTCCATTTGTTTGTGTCATTCATGATATCTTTCAGCAGTGTTTTGTAATTGTCCTTGAGGAGGTCTGTCACCTGCTTGGTTAAGTGTACTTTTAGTTTTAGTTTTTGTTTTTTTTTTCAGCTGTTGCAAAAGGTATTGTGTTCTTGATTTGATTCTCAGCTTGGTTTTTGTTGGTGTTTGTTCACATTGATCTTGTAACCTGAGACTTTATTTAATTCATTTATCAAATCTAAAAGTCTTTTGGAGGAGTTTTTAGGATTTTCTAAGTATACAATCATATCATCTGCAAACAGCTACAGTTTGACTTCCTCTTTTCCAATTTGGATACCCTTTCTTTCTTTCTTTTGCCTAATTGCTCTAGCTTGTATTTCCAGCATTACGTGAATAGGAGTGGTAATAGTTAGCATCCTTGTCTTGTTTCTGTTCTCAGGGGAAATGCTTTGAACTTTTCCCCATTCAATATGATGTTGGCTGTGGGTTTGTCATATATGGCTTTTATTATTTTGAAGTCAGTCCCTTATATGCCTAATTTGTTGAGAGTTTTTATCATAAAGTTATGCTGGATTTTGTCAACTGCTTTTTCTGTATCTATTGAGATGATCATATGGTTTTTGTTTTTAATTCTGTTTATGTGATGTATCACATTTATTGACTTGCATATGTTAATCCATTCCTACATCCCTGGAATGAAACCTACTTGATTATGATGAATTAGCTTTTTGATGTGCTGTTGGATTTCATTAACTACTATTTTCTTGAGAATTTTTGTGTCTACGTTTATCAGAAAAATTGGTCTGTAGTTTTCTTTTTTGTTATGTCCTTCCCTGGTTTTGATATCAAAGTGATTCTAACTTTATAGAATGATTTATGGAGGATTCCCTTTTTTTCAGCCTTTTGGAATAATTTCAGTAGGATTGGTACAATTATTCTTTGAGTGTCTGGTAGAATTCAGCTGTGAATCTATCTGGTCTTGGGCTTTTTTGTTGTTGTCGGCAATTTTAAAATTACTGATTCAGTCTCACTACTTGCTATTGGTCTGTCCAAGTTTTCTGTTTCTTCCTCATTTAATCTAGGTGGGTTGTATATTTCCAGGAAATTGTCAATCTCCTCTAGATTTTCTAGTTTGTGTGCATAAAAGTGTCCATAGTGGTATCAAATGATCTTTTGTATTTCTGTTGTGTTGGTTGTAATGTCTCTAGTTTCATTTTAAATTGAGCTTATTTCTATCTTATCTCTTCTTGGTTAATCTAGCAATTGTCTATTTTGTTTATTTTTTTCAAAAAAAACAAGTTTTTTATTTCATTGATTGTATCCTCTTTTTGGAATTTCATTTCATTCTGCTCTGATCTTTGTTATTTCTTTTCTTCTTCTAGCTTTGGGTTTATTTTGTTCTTGTTCCTCCACTTTCTTGAGTTGTGACATTAGGTTGTCAATTTGTACTCTGTCAGACTTTTGGTTGTAGGCATTTAGTGCTGTAAACTTTTTTCTTAGCACTGCTCCTGCTGTATCTCAGAGGTTTGATAAATTGTCATTATTATCATTATTCAATTCAAAGATTTTTAAAATTTTCATCTTGATTTCATTGTTAACTCAGACATCATTCAGGAGCAGATTATTTAATGTCTTTGTATTTGTATAGTTTTGAGGGTTCCTTTTGGAGTTGATTTCTAGTTTTATTCCACTGTGGTATGAGAAGATACTAGACATTATTTCAGTTTTTTAAAATGTATCGACTCTTGTTTTGTGGCCTTTCATATGGTCTATCTTGGAGAATGTTCTATGTGTGGATGAGAAGAATGTATATTTTGCAAACCTTGGGTAGAATGTTCTGTAAATATTCATTAAGTTCATTTGTTCTAGCATATCGTTTAAGTCCATTGTTTCTCTGTAATTTATTTTATGTCTTAAAGATTTGTCTAGTGCTGTCAGGTGTGTATTGAAGTCTCCCACTATTATTGTTTTCCTGTCTATCTCATTTCTTAGGTCTAGCAGTAATCTTTTTATGAATCTAGGAACTCTAGTGTTTGATGTGTATAAATTTAGGATTGTGATTCTTCTTGGTGAATTGATCCTTTTATCATTATATAGTGATCAGTTTTGTTTTTTTCACCATTGTTGCTTTGAAGTCTGTTTTGTCAGATACAAGAATTGTTACTCCTGCTTGCTTTAGGTTTCCATTTGTGTGGAATACCTTTTTTTACTCTTTTACCCTGAGTTTATATGAATACTTCTGTGTTAGGTGAGTCTATTGAAGACAGCAGATATTTGAATCATGACCTTTTATTCATTCTGCCATTCTATTTCTTTTAAGTGGAGCACTTAGGCCATTTACATTCACCATTAATATTGAGATGTGAGATACTCTTCTCTTCATCATGTTAATTGTTACCTAGATAGTTTTGGTTTTATTGTGTTATTGTTTTACAGACTCTGTGAGTTTTTAGTTTTCAAGAGGTTCTACTTTGGTGCATATTGGCCTTTTGATTTTGAGGTTTAGAACTCCTTTTAGCATTTCTTATAGTGCATGTTTGGTAGTGACAAATTCCCTCAGTATTTGGAAATGACTTTATTTCTCCTTCATTTGTGAAACTTAGTTTTGCAGGATGTCAAATTCTTGGCCCACAGTTGTTGTTTAAGGAAGTCGAAGATAGGTCCCTAATCCTTTCTGGCATCCAAGGTTTATGCTGAAAAGTTGGTTGTTAGTCTAATAGGTTTTTCTTTGTAGGTTACCTAATGATTTTGTCTTACTGCTCTTGGAATTCTTTCCTTCATGTTGACTTTAAATAGACTGATGACTATATCCCTTGGTAATCTTTTATACTGATTTGATTCAAATTATTATAAAGGATTTTACAGAAGTAGCATAATTAAGGTTTATGAAAGAATGTGGGGTTAATTTGTAAAAATAAGATAGAATGAACAGAAATCAAATATGAAAGTGTAACAGAATTTGCTTTTTCAAAAGGAAAATACAGAATTATTGAAGCAAGAATGCTGTGTACAATGAAGAAATAAAATTCTTTTAAACATTAAAATAAAATGGAGTGTACTTTGAAAACTATTCATTAAAATTTATGACAGTTGTAAAAATGACTTAATTGCATATTTTCCTTTGTATTTCACATTAGTGAAGCAATTTGATAGAATTGCATTTTAAAGTACAAATGTTCAGTTTCTATTTATGTGCAGAATATGGCTATTTGTTTATTGACTTATTAATCACCGGATATTTGTTTCAGTATGGTTTAAGGTGAAATAAATTCTTCCAATTCAATAAAGTGTGAAACTTCCAATAGCAGAACAAAATTTACAAATATATGTATTTAACCTAAGTAATTTGTATTAAAATTTGTGTTTACCTGCTCTTTTTTATCACAACTTGATGTATTTTACTAATGCTAAGTATTTTATATTATTTAATAATATGAAATGAGAATCTTCATTAAAGCTATTACAGCAAGTTGAATAACATCATTTTGTTCAATGCCCTTTGGATATAATCTCTTCTGTTTGGAGCTGGAAGTGTGTGGAGTTTGCATGTTCTTCCCATGTCTGCATGAGTTTCATCCAGGTACTCTGATTTCCTCTCACATCCCAAAGATGTGCACGTTAGGTTCATTCATGTGTCTAATGTTCCCAGTTTGCATGAGTGTTGGTGTGCATGTGTAAACCCTGTAATGGGAAGGCATCCTGTCCACAGCTGATTTCTACCTTGCACACTGAGCTGCAATTCTGAACTGAAATAAGCATGTGAACAGTAATCTTACTTGTGCTTGGTAATCTTTCTTAAACGTATGTATAGCTCACATTTATTTAAATGTTTGATACTACAGATGTTTTGAGCCCTAGTTTAAAGTTTGGCAATGATTTGTGACCAGAAATATGATGTAGGAATTTGACTGTTGTTTATATTGAGTAGCTTATGATAAAATTGGTTCTGTTAAATCTTTTTTCACTTAATGTCACAGTGTCCAAAACCTGTTGATGATGTTAAGACTCACTGTATATATTATAGCTAATCAAGTTTCAATTACATATGCCTTTCTAGTATATATAATGAAATATAAATTTTCATTCTGATTTATTACATAACAATTTCATTGATCTTATTAAATACTGCCTTGCCTATGTGACGCTCAGTATATTTATTGCCTAAGCTTATTGGAATAACAAAAGTGCCCATTATCATAGCAGTTAATGACAGGAAATGCCATGATTCTTTAGGTAGCATGGCACATTTGTTAGGAAGACAGACTCTGCAGTCATAGTGCCTGAATTTTAACAGTGACTTAACTGCTTACTAGATACATGACCTTGAGCAAGTTAAACAACATTTGAGCCACAGTTTCCTCTTCTGTAAAAGATAACTAATAACATCTATCCCAATAGGTTGTTAGGGGTTTAAATGAGATAAAGCATGCAAAGTATTCAAAAGCCTTTGGCACATGCTGAAGAATCAATAAATATTAACTTTTCTCAAGTAAACACTGGAAGTTTTAAGCATTCTAAATAATCATAATTTCTAAAGAGTATGTACTAATTTAGAGTTTACAAATGCTATCCCCTATATTATACAATTTTATCCTGTGTGGTAATCTTATGTGAAGGTATCAAAATTCCTGTTGAAGGAAGGAAGGATTGGTGTATTAGCCCATTTTCTTACTGCTATGAAGAAATACCTGAGACTGGGTAATTTATAAAGACGAAGAGATTTAATGGACTCACAGTTCCACATGGCTGGAGTGGCCTCACAATCATGGCAGAAGGTGAAGGAGGAGCAAAGTTATGTCTTACATGGCAGCAGGCAAGAGAGCATGTGCAGGGGAATTTCCCTTCATAAAATCATCAGATCTCATGAGATATATTCACTATCACGAGAAAAGCATGGGAAAACTTGCCCTCATGATTCAGTTACCTCCTATTGGGTCCCTCCCATGACACATGAGGATTATTGGAGCTACAATCCAAGATGAGATTTGGGTGGGGACACAGCCAATCTATATTAATTGGATTAAGTTGCTATACTGTACTAAGTATCAGACTAAGGGCTTTCATATAAGGCAAGTGCTATCATTAATATGATTTTGGAGATGAGGAAACTGTGGATTACAGAGAATAAGTTTGCTCAAATACCTAACTATTAAATGAAGAAAAAGGAAAAGAGATGTATAGTCTGCATTTTAACTATTTCCTTGTGATATTGTTACCAGGAACTGTGGGAATCCTCAGGTCTTATCTAACTTGGAAGAAAAAATTCAACCAAGAGATGCAACAAGAGTTAAGTAGCAGGTTTTGTTGAAGGAAGATAAAGTACGTTCCTAGAGTGAAGTAAAAAACAGCTCCAGGCTGGTTCAGTTTGCAAAAATAGTAGCAGTAGTGTTTATTTAAAGAGACAGTACACTCTGAGAGATGGGACAGAATCTGCTTGAAAGAATGAGCCAGCAGCAGCTAGTGCTAGGGGACTCTCTTTATGAGAATCTTACATCATTAGTTTTGAAGGGGCATGAGGGGATGTTATTTGCAAACATGTTTGAGTTCCCTTTGAACACACATGCTCCATGGTTGTAAATGCTAGTAGTACACATGTTGCATGTCTTATTAGCATTTAAAAGCTCAACCTGGCCAGGCACAGTGGCTCATGCCTATAATCCCTGTACTTTGAGAGGCCTAGGTGGGTGAATCACCTGAGGTTGGGAGTTTGAGACCAGCCTGGACAACATGATGAAACCCCGTCTCTACTAAAATTACAAAAAATTAGCTGGGCGTGGTGGTGCGTGCCTGTAATCCCAGCTACTCAGGAGGCTGAGTCAGGAGAATCATTTGAACCCGGGAGGGGAGGTGGACATTGTAGTGAGTCGAGATTGTGCCACTGTACTCCAGCCTGGGCAACAAGAGCAAAATTCTGTCAAAAACAAAAAACAAAAACAAAAAAACCTCCACTCAGGGATTTTTTTTTTTACTATTATAATAAGCAAAAGGCTACTCTAGAGTGAGTTCTTGGAGGAATGTCCATGCTCTTCAGCAGGGAAAATCTCTAGCATGGTTATCTCCAGCTGAGGCTGGATAAATTCCTTTTAGGGCTGGAGGAGCCAAACCACAAGGCCAGAAGTAGCAAGTGTAGCCATTTATTTCATTCAGTTCTCAAACTGCTATGAAGAAATACCCAAAACTAGGTAATTTATGAAGAAAGAGGTTTAATTTACTCACAGCTCTGCATTGCAGAGGAGGCCTCAGGAAACTTAACAATCATAGAGGAAGGCATCTCTTCACAGGGCAGGAGGACAGAGTGAGTGGTGAGCAGAGAGGGAAGCCCCTTATAAAACCATCAGATCTTGTGAGAACTCATTATGATCATGAGAACAACATGGTGGAAACCACCCCCACGATTCAGTTATCTCCACGTGGTCCTGCCCTTGCAACATGGGGATTATTAAGATTCAAGGTGAGATTTGTATGGGGACACAGAGCCAAACCCTATCATTCTGTCCATGGCCCTTCACAAATCTCATACCCTCACATTTCAAAACACAATCATGCCCTTCCAACAGTTCCCCAAAGTCTTAACTCATTCCAGCATTAACCCAAAATTCCAAGTCCAAAATCTCATCTGAGACAAGGCAAGTGCCTTCCACCTATGAGCTTGTAAAATCAAAAGCAAGTTAGATTCTTCCTAGATACAGTGGAGGTACAGGCATTGGGTAAATACACTTGTTTCAAATGGGAGAAATTGGCCAAAACAAATGGGCTACAGGACCCATGTAAGTCCGAAATCCAACAAGGCATTCAGCAAATCTTAAAAGTTCCAAAATGATCCTCTTTGATTCCATATCTCACATCCAGGTTACACTGAGGCAAAAGGTGGGCTCCCATAGCCTTAGGCAGCTCCACCCCTGTGGCTTTGCAAGGTACAGCCCCCCTCCCAGCTACTTTCATGGGCTGGTGTTGAGTGTCTGCAGCCTTTCCAGGCATACAGTGCAAGCTGTCAGTGGATCTACCATTCTGGGGCTAGGAGGATGTTGGCCCTCTTCTCACAGATCCACTAGGCAATGTCCTAGTGGGGACTCCAACCCCCCATTTCCTTTCTGCACTGCCCTAGCAGAGGTTCTTCAGGATGGCTTCACATCTGCAGCCAACGTCTGCCTGGACATCCAGGTGTTTCTATACATCCTCTGAAATCTAGGTGGAGGTTCCCAAACCTCAATTCTTGACTTCCGTGCACCCACA
This sequence comes from Homo sapiens, assembly GCF_000001405.40. Lineage (NCBI taxonomy): Eukaryota > Metazoa > Chordata > Mammalia > Primates > Hominidae > Homo > Homo sapiens. The sequence continues at coordinate 187,697,761 of NC_000002.12, read as the reverse complement.
GGCTCAACACCACATGGAAGCTGCCAAGGCTTGGGGCTTGCACCCTCTGAAGCAATGGCCTAAGCTGTATGTTGGCCCTTTTTAGCCACGGATGGAGCTGAAGCAGCTAGGATGCAGTGCACCATGTTCTGAGGCTGCATAGAGCAGCAGGCCTGGTCCTGACCCAGAAACTATTTTTCCCTCCTAGGCCTCCAGGTCTGTGATGGGAGGGGCTGCTATAAAGGTCTCTGCCGTGCTCTGGAGACATTTTACCCATTGTCTTGGTCATTAGCATTTGGTTCCTTATTACTTATGCAAATTTCTGCAGCAGGCTTGAATTTCTCCTCAGAATTTTTTTTTTTTCAATCACAACATCAGGTTGAAAATTTTCCAAACTTTTATGCTCTGTTTCCTATTGAACACTTTGCCAGTTAGAAACTTCTTTGACAGGTATCCTAAATCATCTCTCTGAAGTTCAAACCTCCACAGATTTCTAGGGCAGGGGCAAAAATGTCGCCAGTCTCTTTGCATAGCAACAGTGGCCTTTACTCTAGTTTCTAACAAGTTCCTCATCTCTATCTGAGACCACCTCAGCCTTGACTTCATTGTCTATATCACTGTCAGCATTTTGGTCAAAGCCATTCAACAAGTCTCTAGGGTGTTCCAAACTTTCCTACCTTTTCCTGTCTTCTTCTGAGTCCTCCAAACTGTTTCAATCTCTGCCTATTACCCAGTTTCAAAGTGGCTTCCATGTTTTTGAGTATCTTTACAGCAGCACCCCACTCTCTGGTACCAATTTGCTATATTAGTCAATTCTCACACTGCTATGAAGAAATACCCAAGACTGGGTAATTTATAAAGAAAAGAGTTTTAATTGACTCACAGTTCTACACTGCTGGGGAGGCCTCACGAAACTTAGTCATCACAGAAAGCACCTTTTCACAGGACAGCAGGATAGAGTGAGTGCCCAGCGAAGGAGGAAGCCCCTTATAAAACCATCAGATCTTGTGAGAACTCACTATCACAAGAACAGCATGGCGGAAATTACCCCCGTGAGTCACCCATATTTCCACCTGGTCCCGCCCTTGACACGTGGGGATTATTGATTCAAGATGAGATTTGGATGGGAACGCAGAGCCAAACCATATTACCATTGTCACTTTTGCTTACTGTTAATGTGCAGCTCTGACTATCAGTGGGTAGCACCTCTAAGACTTCTTTTCCCAGGGGGCTCCCTAGCCTGCTCATTTCTGGCTATCTGCCCACTCTAACAATATGTTATTTTATAATACGTATAAAGATAATAAGGGTTTTGTCTATTAATTCCTGCATTGGTTTTATGTATCGTAAGATTAATATGTATAGCCATCACATTAATGAAAGAACAAGCACAATGGTGCTTGAAGTGAAAATTAACAGTTTTTATTATGGAGTTGACAATGTGCTATATTCAGTAAGTTTTCTGAGCAAACAAAATTATGGAATTACAATGAATTAACATAAATATAATATCAGATATATATAATTTTAGTAATTATTTTAGGCATTATCTGTTAGTGAAAAAATACTGTTATTTTTACTTTTATAAAATTTATAAAAATCAAATCACTAAATTTTTGGTTTTTGTATCTACTTCTACTTTGTAATAGATTTATAATGGTAATCAGTCTCAATTTCTTTCTGGATGTAGAAGTAGTATAAGTGATAAATATTAGAAATTGAATATTGTCACAATGGTGTTTAGAAACATGCTGAAGATGAGATACCTGCATTAGTCTTTCCTTTTGTAGTTTTTGAGAACTTCTTTAAAAAGAATTAGTAAATGAAAGATACTGTAGCTTCTTAAACTCCTACTAGATTCTTCTATGATGTCAATCATTGCCTAAAGCCCACATTTATGTCTTTACTTCATGTATATCATTTTTATGTGTACACATCAATTTCTAACATCAATATAAAGGCTTGTTCTAACGCTATATAATAAATTCTACATATAATGTTTTTATGTAAAAATCATTTGAAACATGCATAAAATTGATTTATATGGCATGTTACTCTTAAAATCACTAAAACCTACATTTTTTTCAATAAAAATCTGATTAATCATTTGCTGTTTATGTGGATATTGAATGACATAACTTTTTAAATGCCTTAACTTTTCAAAAAATGAATATTTGTTTCAGATAAAAAAACTTTTTAAATATCTTACTCTCCCTTCTCTGCTTTATTGGATACGTTGCACTGGAGAACATGGGGCATGTTTGATGACCAAATATTTTTCAGTGATCCTATATCATTTTTCCTAGCACAGCCTATAAGAGAACAGTAAAATAGATGGAGGTGAATGCAAGGTGAATGTTTTGTGTTAAAATATTTCATATAAAATTCCTAATGATGACTTTTATGCCTATCTAATTAATTGCAACTCTGAGTTTATCAAATACTAAGAAAATTCATCTGCAGTATGTTATTAAGCTTAGTTCATCTTTTGCTTGCATTTAAATATTATTTTTAATCTATAGTAGCATAAAACACACTGTTTATTTTTTTAAAAAATAACCTTTCATTGAGAAAAGTCTCTTGACATTTGTGTTTGCAAATATTTTTTAGATATGACCCCAAAAGCACAGGCAATAAAAGTAAAAACAGACAAATGAGATTGCCTCAAACTATAAAGCTTCTGCACAGAAAAGGAAGCAATTTACAGAGTGAAGAGAAAACATATGGAATGGAATAAAATATTTGCAAACCATACATCTGAAGGAGTTGATATACAAAATATATAAGTCAAACAGCTCATAGCAGGAAAACAAATAGCCTGACTTTAAAATGGGCCAAGGACCACAATAGACATTTCTTAAAAGAAAACATAGAAATGATCAGCACATATATTACCAAATGCTTAACATCATGAATCATCAGGATAATGTAAATTAAAAGCACAATGGGATATAATGTCACATCTGTTAGAAAAGATTTTACCAAAAGGACAAGAGATACCAAGGGTTAGTGAGGATATGGAGAAAAGTAAATATTTTTACATTGTTGGTGAGTATGTAAATTAGTACAGCCATGATGAAAAATAGTATGGATGTTTCCCAAAAATATAAAATAGAACAACCATGTGACCTAGCAATTCCACTTCTGGGTATATAGCCAAAGGAAATGAAATCAGCATGTCAAAGAGATGCCTGCACTTCCATGTTCATTGCACCATTATAAACAATGATCAAGATATGGAATCAAGCTGAATGTCCATCAATAGATGAATGGATAAAGAAAATGTGGTATACACACACAATGAAATACTTATTCAGCCTTTAAAAAAGAAGAAAATATCATCATTTGCATGGATGAAACTGGAAAAAATATGCTAAGTGAAATTAGCCAGACACAGAAAAGAAAAATTACTGACAAATTTTTGTGTATTTACCAAATGATGTCATTTACACGTGGAATCTAAAAAATCAAACTCACAGAAGTAGAGAGTAGAATGCTGGTTACCAAGGGCTGGCGTGGGTAGGAAGAGGGCGGTAATGTGGAGTTGTTCATCAAAGGGTAAGCAGTTTCAGTTATATAGGAGAAATACGTTCTGGAGATCTAGTGTACAGCATGGTGATGATAGTTAATAATGTACTGTATACTGGAAAATTGCTGACAGAGTAGATTTTAAATGTTCTCATCACAAAAAAAATGGTAAGTATGTGAGATGTTAGATATATTAGATTGATTTAATTATCACAGTATCAAATTATCACAGATACAATGGGTATCAAAGTATCACATTGTACCCAATTTTCATTTGTCAATTAAAAGTAAACAAAATTTTTGAATAATCTGTTTCAAATTGTCCTATATTATAAACCTGTTTGGTGACATATAACTATGACACTTGTAGCATGTTGCACACAGGATTTTTCTGGGGGTAAAATGAAAGTGCTTGTTAAATAAAGTATAAGATATAATATCTATTAACATTTTTGAAATTGAATGTTTAGTAAATATGAGTTGGTTGAAAGTTATATATGCCAAACTCAAATTTTCAAGGAAATAAGTGTTCTTGGATAAAAATGTGTTAAATGCTATTTTTGACAATTTATATATATTTCAAATTTTAAAGCTATTATTCAGACAGCATGGATGTAGGAAAATTGTGTATGTGTATATTCTTCTATCTGCTCCTACATATGTATGTGTTTACATATATATAACATTTAATACATAACATATATCATATGGAATGAGTTTCATTTCATACATAACATATTCATATACATATATAGATTACTAGTTATCAAAATATTATTGCAATCATATTTTTGGTAGCACACTGTTACATCTAATTTACACATATTTATCAGAATTTTCATTTGTTCTTTCCAAGAATGTAAGGGTATATAAGGTAGTTTTTCCCATTTTGCACATGAGGAATTCAAGGCTTAGAAAAGTTTGAAACTTGCTAATGGTCACAGCCATTATTAAAATTCAAATTGATCTGGTGACAAATATGTATTTTTTCCACCATATTCTGCTATTTTGACTTTTTAAAATGTTAAAGCTTACAATTTATTTTCAGTTAATTATGTTTCCTATTTTCTTAATATATTATACTAGCGGCATATTCATTCTAATCTATAAAAGTAGAGATAAAACATTTAGTGATTTTATCTGGATAGGTTAGTAAATTAACTTATGGTAATTAACAACTGTCTTGGTCTTTTTGCTATATGTACAAACATTTTCTAAATTATATAGGTTGGAGATACACACATATAAAACCCATATACAAATCTTATAAGAAAAGACATAAATAATAATGAGCCATGATATAGAATATAGGAATATAAAGTCAGTAAGCTTGGCTGTTGTGTGATGTTGCTAAAAGTTTCATCCTTGAAATAGGATTAATATACCTTTTTTTAATCAATAGTTTTGAAAATGTAAGAGTATCACATATTCAAAAACATTTTGTAATTTGTATAAATCTCAATGTTAGCATAAAATTATTCTAAAATTAAATTTTGAGTTTTGAATAGTGTGGATTATGCTATAATGATTATAAATATAACTATTCTTACATAGAAATACATATGCTATAAATAAAACAATAAATTACTGTTATTATATAGATATCATTTATACAATAATTATTACAAACCTTTACATTTTACCTTGATAATCTGAACATTGATCATCTACTACAAACTATTCTTAAGATAATGTATAATTGTTGCAATCAGAGCTGAACACAATTTGCATTAAAGTTTGTTCTTTCCATTACTGTACTATAATGTCAGTGAAAAAAACTCATTTCCTTTTGTATTAGAAACACATTTGGAAGGATTTTAACGATAAATATGCTTCATTTGTTTCTTAGCTAGAATAAATCTCTCTTGAGAACGGAATTTTTAAATTAAATTAATGCATTTGAAAATGTTTCTAAACTTTTATAAATCATTAAAGTCTTCATAGTTTATTATTGTTTCATGCTACAGAACAAATTTGAATTTAGAGAAGTCTTTTGATACATCAGAATCCAAAGTCAAAATCTGAAACATTATACATATTTATGTATAATTTATATAATTTGAGTAATTACATGCATAGAACATTTATATATGTTTATAATGCATTTTCCCTAACATAATCTCTCTTGGTACTTTCAACTATACATAAAAATTTCAGGGCAATTATTTTCTCTATTTCGAAAGCAAAAGATGTTCACTCTCAAGTACTTTGCCTGAGGTTATACAATGATCCTGTATATGACCTAGGGTTAGAATCTGGATCACCTAAATCCCTCTGATGGAAGTAAGATATTTCTTTCAGTGCTAAAGAAGCTTATAATAGTCTCGTTAGATTTTCTATAATCTCTCTATAAGTGGCATCAAATAGAAATTTCAAGTATTTTAGGTACAAGCTTTTCAACAACGTTGTTGCCAAGCTAACATACACAAAATGAAAGTCCATTTATTATGATGCCCCACTGACAATATTCAAATGATAGTAATCATTGAATGCAATACAAATTTTATTTCTATACAATCTAAACTGAAGTGATTTAACATAATATTTATCCAATCAACTAATATTTATTGAGTGTTCAATATGAGCCATACACTGTTCTAAGTACTTAGAATTCATCAGTTAACAAAACAGGCACATATTCTAGCTTGTAGGAAATTAGGATGTTAGCTAGGAGTGACTGGCTTTAAACTATAAGCATGATAGATAAAAGTATGTTGGGTGTTAATAAGTGTTACTAGAAAAAATACAGTAAATAAAGCAGGGACCATAAAAGGTGACAAACATATGATGGAGGGAGGGGTGTTCATTAACAATTTTGCATAGTATGGTAAGGGTAAGGCTCAATGAGCAGGTGATCTTGAACAATGAGTTCATATGGTGGTGCCTGGTGTTTTGGTATATTTTAAGGAGGCAAAAGCAAAGGACTAGAGAAGACGGGGCAATAGAGGAGCAATAAAAGATGAGACAGAAAAGGAAGCAAGAGACCAACTCATGACAGCCTAACACGGCCTCAACGTTTGTAGTAAATCAAACAGGAAGTCCCTGGAAGATTTTAAAGCAGAGGGATAAATTGCCTAATATACATTTTATCAGATTCAGCAATGAATGTTGTGTTGATCATACAAAGTAGATAGGCAACTTGGGAAGCAGGGGGACCAGTTAGGAAGATAGTGAACTAAGTGAAGTAAGGGACGGTAGTGGCGTAAACAAAGCGGAAGTCGTAAAAGAGGGGTCCAATCCAATTTTAGGTATATCAGAACCAATTTTAGGTATATTGGGAGAAAAATGCAATGTCATGACAGATTGGATGTGGAATATTAGGGAAGAAGTCAAGGATGATGGTGATGGCCGGGTGTGGTGACTGACGCTTGTAATCCCCACAGTTTGGGATGCCGATGCGGGCGGATCACCTGAGATCAGGAGTTCGAGACCAGCCTGGCCAACATGGTGAAACCCCATCTCTACTAAAGTTACAAAACTTAGCCAGGCACACTCCTGTAATCCCAGCTATTCAGGAGGCTGAGGCAGGAGAATTGTTTGAACTCGGGAGGTGGAAGTTGCAGTGAGCTGAGATACCATGCCACTGCACTCCAGCCTGGGCAACTGTAGCCAGACTGCGTCAAGAAAAAAAAAAAAAAAAAAAAAGACAAAAGAATGATGGTGAGGTTTTCGTCCTGAGTAACCTGTGGAATGGATTGCCATCAATGAGATGGGGCCGGCTCTGGGTAGGAACAGATTCAGTGTAGGGAGGTATCAGGCTTATTTGGTTTGAGATATAGTATGTTCCATTTGCCTATCAGTTTTATCAAATATGCAATTGGATATATAAGACTGGAGCTACAGGAAATGGTCTGGACTGAAAATGTGGGAATAATTGCTATTAGAGATAGTATACAATATTATAAGATTGAGTAAGACCAGCAAAACAGAGAGTGTAGTTAGAGAACAGAAAAGGGCCAATGACAGGCCTGGATCACTCCAATGTTGTGTGCTGAGAGAAGAGAAAGAATCAGGGGAAAAAAAAATCCCAGTGAACTAGTGTAGTATAATGAAAAGCAATGAAGTGGAGTTTCCTAGAAGCCAAGCGAAGAAACTTTTATAAATTACTGTACACTGTAAACTAAATGAATTTCAGCGGGTTGGAAAGAGCAAACACCTTTATTGGTGATTGAAGAGAGAAATAGGGGGAGAGGAATTAGAGCATGAAAATGTAAAGAAGTCTTTCGGGTTTTCCTGCAAAGAGAAACAATGAAGTGCAACAAAATTTTATGGTGTTTTTAAAAAATAAAATAATTAACATTTTTCGTTTATATGCCAATGGGGTATGGTCCAATAGAGAAGGAGAAATTTATGATGTAAGAGAGGTTAATTATAGAACTAACATCCTTGAGTAGGAAGAAGAGGATGAAATCTACTGATCAAATGAAAGAAATGGCTTTCAATAAGATCAACTTTATAAGATACATTTTATAATTCTATGTTTAAGTATACACCCAGAAGTCTTAAATTGGTTTCTATACATTCAAATATATTCCTAATTTAATGCAAATTAATAACTGCCTATAAAAGATTTTGCTCATATTCTCTGTAAAGATAAGATCCATCTCAACAATATAGCAATTCACTGAGTACAGTTAAATGGAGTTCAGTGTTTAGACATGACACATGCATTAAAATGACTCATTCAACAAACATTGGCTGAACATTTACTGTATCCTTTAATTCTTTCTGAATAAGTATTGCTTCTTATCAAGAGCATGGATTAAAATAAGGTTAATAAGAAACCATTAGATTTCATAGCTGTGTATAACTGCTTTAAGGTTTTGACTGGACTATGGTAATGAAATAAAAGAGTCAATTCATAACATCAGGAGTGAGACAAATTTGCAAAAAGATCTTTTTAAATTAAAAGATTTAAAAGCACAAACTAAAATTACTTGGGTTTTTAGGGTAGTTACTGTAGAAGGAATTATGATATAATTTCACAATGTCTGATTTCTAAATGAATCGGAATTTCCCTCAAGGTTAATTTTGCTTCTTGGAAAGATGTCAATACTTTATTTCATTTTATACATGCTATGAATTGATTCATAAAGTATTCAGGCATCTCTTCATTATATAACAGTCAAAACCTATTTTCCAAAAAATGAAAGCAGATATACAGAGAAAATATATACAATTTATGCTAAATGTTCAAAGGACTATTTTCATCAAAATAAAGTATTGTAAATATTGATCAGAGTTAAAATTGAACACTAAATAAATACATAGTGATATCAAAGATATATATGTATACAAGTGTTATCTTGGAATAGTATATTACATTTTTGTATAGTTGTATTTCTCCCTTAGATGTTAAATTTCATGTTTGGTATAAAAACAACAGTTATATCTGTCCACCCTTGTCCAATTAATTTGAATTTTCTATGCATTCATCAAAGAGCACATTTTATATTTTCTGATAGCTTTATAATTTTTATTAAATACTATAAAGTAATACAATATATTTAAATTGGCTTATTATACATCTGTTGTCTCATAATTTACCTTTTATATTTATTCATGTACATATATAAATATGCATGTCAATTTCTGAATGTCTCTCATATCACAGGAAAGTTATTTTCATTAATTTGAGGCATTGATTGCCCATCATTTATTTTGCGCTTGTGACTATCCTTTCTGACAGCATAATATTTTCAATACTTTTTTATTCTCTTCATATGTTATTATCTAGTTCATATATTATTATTTAGCATTTTTATTTCTCTACTCTTCAAGGCATTTGCACCTTCTCAAAACTCCAATTTTCTCGTGGTCCAACTTGAGAAGACACCTGCATGAAGAGTTTCTCTTTATTACAGTCTGCCTTTAAATTCATAATATTTATACCATATTTGCTTATATCGGCTTATCAACCAAGAGTATAATTACCAGATTATAAGAATCTGCTGGCATATAGTTGGCTTTCAACAGGTACTGGCTAATTGAGTGAATGAATGAATATTTGCACTCAGATATAAAGTTATGTTCTACATTAATGAGAACACAAGTGCAGCTGCTGCAGCAAAGAATCAGAATAACAGTGACCTGCGATATAGTGAATATCAATATGTCAGGAATTCAGTCTCCTTTTAATTTATTACTCTGCCCATTTGGGGGGCATCACTCAAATCTACCTGGTCCATAGGAATCATAACCAAAGCTGTGTTCTATCCATTGTGAGGGTACCTTCATTACAAGGTCATGCATTTACCATTTCATTTAACATTAGTCAGAATTAGTGACATGTCCTCCACCTGCTGCAATAAAATCTGGAATTCTAGTCTTTATTATTGGTAGCCCACCATTCAGCTAAAATTTATGGTTCCATCACTAAAGCAAGACAGAGAGTTGTAGTAACCTCTGTTTCTTCATTTGCTTATAATCCTTGATTTTCTTTTTGCATATTTCTTGACCTTTGAACTTTGAACTTTGGAAAAAAAATATATTAACCACAGTATCGAGAGTCTGAATAAAAGGAAAAGAAAATGCAACATAATTAACTCATTTTACCAAATGAGAAAATGTAATAGGTTAAATTTTTAACGTCTGCACTAGACAAAACCAAAACATTTTTCTTTGTATTTTCTTTCTAATTTTGATTGACACTAATCATGTTACATAAATACAGAGAAAAGAACATAATTATTATATACCAATATTCCAACACATATATACATTTATGTACATACACACTATATATATGAAAACACACATACAAGCACATACACGCTTCTTCTCCACTCTTAAAGACATTTACATTTTTTCAAAACTCCATTTGTCTAGTATCTCTGTGAAGTTTGTGATAGCTCTGTGTGTGAAGCACCATCATTTATCATTTTTCTGGGTTTCCTTCTAATAGGATGTTTTAAACTTCTCACATCTGCTGCAAAAGATATGTCGCACACCTATCCATACATTTTAATGAAAAAATAAAGGCAAAAAAATAGGAAATTACTTATAAAAAATCAAATTATTTAAATGTTTGGGTGAGGATGTGAAGTCATGGACATTTTTGTATGATTTTGAAAACATACAGATAAAATAATGTAATATTTGATGTTATTATAAACCGTATATGTTTATTCTATAAAATTTATCACAAGATTATGTAAAAACAATAATGAAATTAGGAATGTGCCAAAACTTCATGCGTTTTTAGGAGAGATTTGTGGCTCTCAATACATAAAGTTTATGCACGAAGCCATAAATCATTTCCAGCATTTTTTTGTTATTCTTAAAAATCAGTCTTAAATAAGAGGAGGTAGAGTGTCAGCCTGCAGCAAACACAGATATGATATGGTGTCATTTTGTTGATCGGTGCTTAAGAAGACCGAATATTTCATATACTCCTCGAGGGGGCTTTTCTGACCTGTCATGCGTGGTTGAAATATACTGCTTCTCCCCTCTGGAAATTAGTTTACTGTGAGGCCTTCTTTAATGTTGTAGAGCCACAAATCTTCTAGGAAGTTAATAAAATTGTTCTTAGCTGCTGCTGGTCCATTCTTATTACAAGGATTAAACTGCCCTGTTCTTAATTGCAGAGTACAGATTGCTGTTGCAGGTTTTTCACTTGTAATAAAATGAAGTAATCTCTGAAGAATAATGATAGGACTAGGCAGGAATCACTCACCTCTTGTCTTCTAAGGGAAATGCTTTTTGTTTCCATGGAGATGCCTTTTATATATGATGAAAGGTACATGGGAGAAAGAGAAAAGCTAATAGGCTCAGGGTTTCATTTGGAGGGGTTAATACGACATGCAGACTCATTTGGTTTTGCTGGAATCACTAGTAGTGCAGTTGCATAAGTAGCATTTTCTCCCAATAGTCAATTAAACATCAATAATTTGCCAACAGCATAAAACTGGTATTGTATATATACACTTGATTTTTTCTCCATTTAATGTTATAATTAGGATGTTTGCCCCTAAGTTTTAGTACTGAGACTAACTCAACCAACTATAAAGTCTGATCTTTGGTAAGAGGGAGATTGTTTATATTCACATTAAAATAAAAAAGAAAGATAGACTATAGTGGCAAACTACTGAGATACTTTAATGTATACATGTTTATACATAATCAATTTTTTTCTCCCTTAAAGAGTAGACACATTATAAAATAATGTGGTAAAATGATCTAGTCAATGTTAAAGATATTATGATAACTTTATCATCAACATCAATATTGTCATAATCAAAAATATTAGAAACCTATTCAAAATACCACTTAATGGGGTGCTTACTGTCTTCTAGACTTTTGTTCTCTTTTTATTTTAAAATATATTAGATTATTTAATCTTTACAATAACTCTACAAATGAGGTACTATGATCTTCATGTTTTGCTCTGACTGTAAAGACGTAATGTAACTTCAACAGCAGAGCTTTTAAAAATACATTCATTTATACATAAAATAGATAGGTTGTAGTTTTACTAATTAACAATGTACGGATCATCCACTTTACAGGTATTTTTCTTGTCATGAATGACTCCACCTTTTCTTTTTGCTAAGGTACAACACATTAGACATATTCTTAGTAGAAGCTTTAGACAATGAGGAAAATGGAAATAAGATTGGTTGAGATCTTAAGACTTTCCAGGAACTGAGATACCACTTAATACGTTCAATCTCATCTCAGTTCTCTACAAATCTTGGAGACAAGATTTCTCTAACGAGAAAATGTGTGTGCAACAAAAATGAAATTCAACATTTTCAAGGACAAGTGCTTGAAGCCTATTTTGGACTCAGGACCATACCCTTGCGACTCTCTCACAACACCTCTTCAGGTTTGTGTTAAGATGCCATTTTATCTATTCCTCTTTTAGGTGGGGTATTTGGTCATGGTTTCAAACCACTGGGAAAATTCTTCCTGGTTTTTTATAATCCATTCTAACGCGACTATTTTGTGGTTGCATACATAATTGGGATATTATGTATCATTTTAAATCATATTTTCAGTTGTTTCAATGTCCTATAAAAGTGTTTTAATATAAAGTATTTGTTTTGTTCATCAGTGAAATAGTACGTAGTAGTACATATCTCATTTGACATTTGACAACACTTGAAAATATTTGCTTTTTTATTTATTTATTATTTTTAGACAGAGTCTTGCTCTGTTGCCCAGGTTGGAGTACAGTGGTGCGATCTCGGCTCACTGCAATCTCTGCCTCCCGGGTTCAAGCGATTCTCTTGTCTCAGCTTCCCGAGTAGCTGGGACTACAGGTGCATGCCCCCACATCCCGCTAATTTTTGTATTTTTAGTAGAGATGGGGTTTCACCATGTCAGCCAGGCTGATCTAGAACTCCTGACCTCAAGTGATCCATCCACCTCAGCCTCCCAAAGTGCTGGGATTATAGATGTGAGCCACCACACCCAGCCAATACTTGAAAATATTTATGAAGATAAAAACCAAATCATTTAGAGTTCTTATAGGTCAATAAAAACTGAAATATATTATCAAAGCAATAATATTTTGTTCTTGAAAAAGTAAATACTTGGTTTCTTCTCAATTTTCTGATTTTAATGTGATGCTAGTTAGAGTTGAAAAGAAAGGTGGGTTAGATGATGACTATTCACTTTTAAATATGGTCTCTCTGCAAAGTAAAAGACTCAAGTAACACCTCTCCAGCTAAAACGAAGCTGATTATGCTGCAAAGTGAATTTGCAGCACATTAATCATAATTTGTGAATATGTTGTAGAGACCGTTTTTATAATGACTTGCTGAAAAATGAGAAACCCTGAGTCCCTATCTCATTCATTTTATTGTGTTTATGAAGCTTCTAAAGTAGGAAAATTGAATGGCACCATAGGGATCAGAAGCAGCTGTTTGTGCTCTTTTGCTCACAGTTGATACAGTCATGACTCACACTCCTCCAAATTATGGAGATTTTTCAGCATTTTAACAAGCAACCTATGTTTATATTATTTTTCCATATCAGCATACATACTTCATGCTTAGTGAGGTTTGAATAAGAAAGAAACATACTGTATAACTTGATCATTATATATCAGTTTGCATTAACATACTTGGTCATAAATGTCCAATATTTTTCTATATAAATCTATCAAACATATCTCTTTAATAATAAATTTGCAAATGTTATGTTATGATATATCTGTTTAATAAATGGAGCTGTTTTAAAAATATTTAGCTATTTTAGGTATTTTAAAAAATATTTCCTCCTAGCAATGTTTTCATATTTGTCAATGCATAGACAAAGTGGTACGTGGGCCAGAAACTTGAAGAATGCTTAAATGTTTTCTAGAAAGATGAAGAAAAGAAGGACATTTCAGCATGGGGAATAAATTGCATTAATGAAGGCATAAATGTATGGAAAAGTGAGGTACAAACATAATGTGCTTCAGGAAGGTGTAAGGGATTTCCAGGAAATTAACATAAAGTTACAAACTGTGACAAGAGTAAAGGAAATAGAAAATCTTTTAAAAACTGTTACATATTTTGGATATTAAATCTTCATCAGATATATAGTTTGCAAATATTTTATCCCATTTTGCAGGTTGTCTACTAATTGTTGATTATACTGTGTGCTTGAAAATCGCTAAGATAGTATATTTCACATGTTCTCACTACAAAGACATAACTATATGAGGTAATGGATGTATTTACCAGCTTGATTCAGCCATTCTACAATATGTACATATACCTAAACATCATGCTGTACACCATAAAGATACAGAATTTGTATTTGTCAATTTAAAAAAAAGCTAAATAATACTTTTGCTGGTTTTGAATCTCAGGAATCTTTTATGAAGACTTTGGGGCTATCATTTTGAAATGTGGACCTCAGGGTGGAAAGGGCCTTTTCCCCCTATATCTGTGGAATTTTGGCCTCAATGCCTGACTCCAAGTTGTAACTTCTTGCTTGTTTTGGAGATGTGAGAAGCTTTGCTTTTCTTTGGATAAAACAACTAAGCTGTATTTAATGAATTATATCTTCCTGGCACACAAAAATGTGAGATTTCTTTCTGTCTTGCAGTCTCTTTAGTGGATTGCCTGTGAGGCAATCACAACTGGGTTTAGTGCTTATTTAATAATAAAACTATTTTCTTTCTTTTTAACATTTATCAAGAAGATTTGTAGAATGGCATAATATTTTACTTATTTCTCCAATGCAAGAAAATCAAAAGCTTTGTGTGCCTTACTTAATGATGATGAAGTTAATCATTAGAAAATCCTGTTGAAGTTTTGAAGAATGAAAATATGAATAGATAGGTGTTTTAGAAATAAATTATGAGCATAATACAGATAAGTGGTTTATAGGAAAGGCTAATGACAAAGAAATACTTTAAGAAATAAAGTAAGAGCTTATACAAAAGGTTAGCGACTAGATGAAGTTAGTGATTCTGGAAACAGAAACGTCTAGGATAGATATAAAACTCTTGCACAGGTAGAAATGACAATGGAATAAACATTATGGATGCTATAAATTTACCAATAATTTATGATAAATATTAAATAATAATAATTTACAATTACTTAATGAGTACTGTGTGCCAGGAAACTGCTGTAATTACTGACATGTATGAAAATACACTCTCACCATAATCCTTTGAAGTAGATTCTATTACTGTGTTACAAATTAAGATATTGAGAGAAAGAGTTTGAGTCATTTGCTGAGGGTTACAGACCTGACAATTCATGGTGGTTATTGCAATAAAGATCAAAATTAAAATAAACATATCAATTGATTGAACATAAATAGAACAATGAAGAAAGAATGATACAGGAATAGGAAACCAAGGTGTTAACTTTGATCAGGTCTGCCTGACCTGCTTGCTTTTGGTCATTTGCCTCTTGTTAATTTTCTTTTCCCCTTTTCTCATGAACTTGAAGGCTGCAGTAGCTGAAGGACACATCACTAAATGCTGAAACTTTTCACTGGCTATGTTATAGATAACGTTCACAAGTCACAATGGTAACAGTTGCTTCAGTTGTTTTTCAGAAACTTTGGCCAGCTCCTGGACAGCTCAAACTGGTTGAGACCGCTGATCTTTCAACTGGGCCTGCACAAGTGCCCAAGAGATTACTTTTTGAGGTGGGAGAACCAAAAACTCCACCCCCAGATCATATTGATGCCACCATTTTCTGTACATATGTCCTATGAAATGCCATGAACTCTGGCTATTTAGTGTCACAAGGGAGGTCACAATCTTATTCCCTTCAGTCACTGCATGAGACTGAAAAAAGGAAAATCAAATTCAGGTTAGAGCAGAGACATGCTGAGAAGCCAGGCCAGAAACGCCTCCGGGAACCTGCCATTGTTTGTTTAAAACAGTAAGTGGTGAAGAGTTTTTAAAAGTTTTTAAGAGTGATAGAACATATTCGACTATTTCAGAAAGTAATAAAGCTATTAATAGCTGTGCAAGAATCTAATACCCACAGTGAAAAACTCCACATTAAAAGCTGAGCTGGCACATACGGATTAGGATGAAGATCTATCTTTTTCTAAATCTACATTTTGAGAGTCTGTACTATTTGGATGGTCATTCTACTTGGGCAGAATGAACTTGTCACTTCACTTATCCCCATTGCCAATTACTTTTCCCCGTACCTTAGACCATCCCACTTCCCTAACCCATAAATGTCCCTAAGCCTTATCTTTAGGGAGGTGGAGTTGAGAGCTATTCTCCCACTTTCTCGCTCAGTTCCCTTGTGAACAAAATATTTTCTCTTTTACAAAACCCATGTCACAATGACTGACTTGCTGCAGGCAAGTGGGATGGATCTGGACCTGGCCAGTAACAAATATGTATAAACTTGGAAAGTTGATGGGTATTAACACCGAGT
Source organism: Homo sapiens (assembly GCF_000001405.40). Taxonomy (NCBI): domain Eukaryota; kingdom Metazoa; phylum Chordata; class Mammalia; order Primates; family Hominidae; genus Homo; species Homo sapiens. The sequence goes on along the minus strand of NC_000002.12, from coordinate 187,681,403 downwards.
AAGAAAAAATGTCAACAGAACCACTAATCCAAGAATATTCTTTCACAAAGGATGAATCTTGGAAGACTGGCTTACTTAAAATTCTACGGCTGACTAAAAAGAATACGAGATGAAGAGGTATGGGGTGTATTCACTAGAACATAAAATATACACTATTAGTGTAAATGAGAGACATGTAAACTAACAAATAAAGTGCCCAGGTAGAGATCAGCGCTCTTGGAAAAAAACTCATAGAAACTCTGAGGACCTTTTTCTTTGTCTTACTTTTTAAAGAAAAATCCTAGTAAATACTTAAACATCTGGGTAATTATAAACTCTGCTGCAGAAATAATACTTGAATGTATTTGTAAATGTAGGTATATGTAGCTATGTGTGTGCATATGTGTCTGTGAGTGTGCATATACACAGATGCACATATACACACATATGTATATACACATATATGTATAATGTGATATATATGTTATTCTAAATCTAAGTGAATGTGACATACTGTGGAGGAACATATCTGTTAGAAATCAAAATTTCATCTCTGTTATTGACCTCTCTGAATGTTGCCTCCTTGAAATAACAGCAAAATCTATTCTTTCATAAGTTTTTAATTAGTTTTATCAGTTAATCTGAGATGTCATTAATTAATGTACTTTGTGGCAGTATGATGCCTAAGGGCATTTAAAAAATTTGATTTTGTAGTAAAACTTCCTTGAATAAATGATTCATAAAATCAATACAACACTGTAATCCCTATATGACCAAAGGAGGCAAATGCTACAAAATAGATTTTTTCTTTCTAGAAGTTATTTTTCTTTAAGTTCAGGGATACAAGTGCATGTCTGTTACATAGGTAAACTTGTGTCATGAGGGTTTGTTGTATAGATTATTTCATCACCCAGGTATTAAGCCTAGTACCCATTAGTTATTTTTCCCAGTCTTCCCCCTCCTTCCACCCACTACCCTCTGAAGAACCCCAGTGTGTGTTCCCCTCTAGGTGTCCATGTGTTCTCATCATTTAGCTCTGACTTACAAGTGAGAACATTGGTTTTCTGTTCCTGTGTTAGTTGCTAAGGAAAACGGCCTCCAGCTTCATCCCTGCAAAGGACATGATCTCATTCTTTTTCATGGATGCATGGTATTCCATGGTATATATCATGAAGAGGAATATTTGTAAAAGGCATGAAGATGTACTCTAAGATGTCAGCAGAAGAACATATATATAGCATAGAAATTATCAAATATGAGCAAAAGTCATTAAATATAAGCAAATTGTTATGTAATTTGTTATGAACAATGGAAAAAACAACTACATTAAGTTTTAAAGAAAAGATATAGGAGTATGACATCAACATCTCAAGTAACACCAAAAGAAACATCAGTTTTACCCACAAAAATAGCCAAATGAGTCTAGTATAATTTTACTGTGCCCTGTAATTTACCAATACAAAATTTACTCACTTTTTTGCCGATACTTTAAATTAACCTAACAAATGAAAGGCATACTTTCAGAATTTGGAATAACAAATACATCGCTATCTCAAATTAAATTACATACACTTCACTAAATGAGTTTTAGAGAAATGTCACTTGGAAATAACATGGAATACAAATCAGTCTTCCCCTTTTTAATGAGGCAAAAGGAAAAAATAACATTACATTCCAGAAAGAGAGCAAGTCTCCACTGTTGATGGAAACATGTAAAGAAAGTAGATCTTTGGCAAAGATCAGAAAAACTTGGATGAATCACAACACATAAAATGATGCCTTTTTTACACAACATTCATAGGACTAACTAAAAGCTGTTGATAAAGTGACATAGCAGTTAGTAAAGCTTACATGGCTTTATATATACTTTTGTAAATATTAAAAAATTAAATAACCTGAAAGCTCATCTGCTGAAATTTCTACAATACTGGCTAGAAAATGGAACTCTAACTGCTCTAGAGCATGTGTGTCCATGTCTGTGTCTGTGTGTGTGTCCGTGTGTGTGTGTGTGTGTGTGTGTGTGTGTGTGTAGGTGCATGGGAATGTGTTTAGGTACTTGTCCTACTTGGTAGACCACAAGATTGGTATTTCATGCCCATCCAGGAACAGGATAAATGTCCTTCAGTTCATTCAAGGTCAGAACTAGAATTGCAATTGCCATATGAAGGAAATAATTTTAAAAGAGCTGTCTCCAGTGTTCTAGAAACAAGGAAACCTCTGGCATGGAGAAATTAAAGGGACCGTTTTCTAAATCTGCCTGGGATATGAGAGGGAAAGGATCTCTTCCTTGGGGCTAGAATTTATATTATCCATATAGTCTCCAAACTTAGATGTTGACAAATGTGCATAAAATTGGTCCCAGGCTGACAAACTAGGGTATTTGCCAGACGTTATTCCCAAGGGAAACAAGCTCATGCAAAGCTGAACTTAATTATCACAGGTGCAACTTCATTCGATTAAGTCATAATTTCTCACATTATAAAGCATGTGAATAATAACTCACCATAGAATCAGCAAACAGGAAGTATAAAGCTAAAATAATTTTTAATAACACAATCTTATAGAGGTTTAAATAATCAGACATGAAAATAAGTTAAAACTATAATAAAACAACAACTATAAAATTATAATAGGAAAATTTGGGAAAAAATTCAGAATTTGCAATTATTTAACTCATTGAATTAGAATTTTAATCCATTAGGTTAACCTCAGGTTAGGAAGATAAAATTAGTAAACTGGAAGGTAGATTAAGGAAATTTAGCTAAGGAGAAATTGAAAGGCATGAAAGTAAAATGAAAACGTTCAACATAAATTTGTTAAGTGTTCCAGAAAGAGATAAGGAGGAATCAGGTTTTCAAAAATAATTTATTATATAGAAATGTTATTAATTTGCATATGTTGATTATGTATTCTGTAACTTTGCTGAATTGATGTACTGGTTTGAACACCCTTTGGTGGAATCCTTAGGGTTTTCTATATATAAGATCATGTCATCTGCAAACAGGGACAATTTACCTTTTTCTTTTCCAGTTCTGAATCCTTTTATTCTTTCTCTTGCCTAATTACTCTGACTAGGACTTCCAGTACTACGCTGAATAACAGTGGTGAGAGTGGGAATTTTTGTCTTGTTCTAGATTTAGAGAAAAAACTTTCAACCTTTCCCCTTTAAGTATGATGTTAGCTGTGGGCTTGTAATATACAGCCTTTATTGTGTTGAATTATAGTCCTTCCTTACCTAAATGTTGAGAATTTTTATTATGAAAGGATATTGAATTTTGTCAAATGATTTATCTTCATCTATTGAAATGATTATGTTTTTTGTTCTTAATTCTGTTAATACAGCATATTACATTTACAGATTTGTGTACGTTGAGCTATTCTTGCAACCCAGGCATAAATTCCACTTAATCATGGTGAATGATCTTTTTAATGAACTGTTGAATTTGGCTTGCTAGTATTTTGTTGAAGATTTTTGTATCTATGTTCATCAGTGAAAAGGCCACTGGCCTATGGTTTCTTTTTCATAGTGTCCTTGTCTGGATTTGGGATCAAGGTAATGCTGGCGTCATCAAATTAGTTTGGAAGTATTCTCTCCTCTTTAATTTTCCTAAAGAGTTTGAAAAGGATTGGTATTAGGTCTTCAAATGTTTGGCAGACCCCAGCAATGAATTTATCAGGTCCTGGGCTTTTCTTCAACATAAGACTTTTTATTCTGATTCAGTCTCCTTACTCGTTATTTTTCTGTTGAGATTTTATGTTCATTATTCAATCTTGGTAGGTTGTACATGTTTAGGAATTTATCCATTTCCTTTAGGTTATTCAACTTCTTGACATATAACTGGTCATTTTTTTCTCTTGTGATCCTTTGTATTTCTGTTATATTAGTGGTAATGTCTCCTTAATTTCTGGTTTATTTAAATCTTTTTTTCAGTCTAAAGGTTTATCAATTTTACCATTTCAGAAAAGTAGCTCTTACTATGGTTGATCTTTTCTATTGTTTTCATAGCCTCTATATTATTTATTTCTGCTCAGATCTTTATTATTTACCTGCTTCTGCTTACTTTGGGCTTTGTTTTTCTTTTACTAGTTCCTTGATATGTAAAGTTAGGTGGTTTATTTAAGATCATTTTATTTTTCTTAATGCAGGCATTTATGGCTAAAAACTTCTCTCTTAGAACTGCTTTTGCTGCATCCTGTAAGTTTTGGTATGTTGTGTTTTCATTTTTATTTGTCTCAAGATTTTTTTTTTAATTTCCCTTTTGATTTCTACTTTCACTGAATGGTTGGTTGTTCAGGAGTACATTGTTTAATTTACGCATATTTGTGAATGTTTCAGCTTTCCTCCTGTTATCAATTTCTAGTTTCATCATTATGATCAGAAGAAATACTTGATATGCTTTCAGGCTTAAATTCTGGCACCTAACATTATCTATCCTGTTGAATGTTCGAATGTACCACATGCACTTGAAAAGAATGTGTATTCTGCTGCTGGTGGATAGAATGTTCTGTATGTCTCTGTTAGGTCTACTTGGTCTATAGCTTTGTTCAAGTTTGTTGTTTTCATATTTTCTGTCTGGGTGACCTATCCATTGTCGAAACTGGAGTTGTTTACAGGTTTTAAAAAAAATACTATTTCTATGTTTTTTTCTATGCCTAAGTAATAAATATTTTAAAGTAAAGCAACTTTAAAAGACTATAATGGAAGTTTTAAATAATGCCTATGTTAAAGTATTCTATAACTTGTATTCAAGGGATTGAATAAGCACCTCATTGTAACAAAAAGAATATGAAATGACATATATACAGAGGTGACTACAAGCTTTGCTTCTGGATGTTCTTAATCAAAGTGCTGCAGTAGATAATCTGCTTTTGTGATATCCAAAAAATTGCTAATAATAATACTCAAAACAAATTGTAAAATGAAAACTCCAAACTGAAGCTTCACGTATATCAGTGTGTGCCAGGTTTTTTTCAGTGTGCCAGTATTTTCAAATGAAGGATTTTATTTGAATGTTTGGTTCACCTATTTCAGACTTCAATTTAAATCCCTCAGAGCACAAAAGAAGGAATTAGACTAAGAGAAAGCATAATGTCACAATAGGACAGTCGCTACAAAGAGGAACATTTAAGACCTCTGAATTTTCAGTATACTATGTGTCAGGCCTCTGAGCCCAAGCCAAGCCATTGCATCCCCTGTGACTTGCACGTATACTCCCAGGTGGCCTGAAGTAACTCAAGAATCACAAAAGAAGTGAATATGCCCTGCCCCACCTTGACTGATGACATTCCACCACAAAAGAAGTGTAAATGGCCAGTCCTTGCCTTAACTGATGACATTACCTTGTGAAAGTCCTTTTCCTGGCTCATCCTGGCTCAAAAAGCACCCCCACTGAGCACCTTGCGGCCCCCACTCCTGCCCGCCAGAGAACAAACCCGCTTTGACTGTAATTTTCCTTTACCTACCCAAATCCTATAAAACGGCCCCACCCTTATCTCCCTTCACTGACTCTCTTTTCGGACTCAGCCCACCTGCACCCAGGTGAAATAAACAGCCACGTTGCTCACACAAAGCATGTTTGGTGGTCTCTTCACACAGACGCGCAAGAAATCTGGTGCCATGACTTGGATCGGGGGACCTCTCTTGGGAGATCAATCCCCTGTCCTCCTGTTCTTTGCTCCATGAGAAAGATCCACCTATGACCTCAGGTCCTCAGACCAACCAGCCCAAGAAACATCTCACCAATTTCAAATCCGGTAAGCGGCCTCTTTTTACTCTCTTCTCCAACCTCCCTCACTATCCCTCAACCTCTTTCTCCTTTCAATCTTGGTGCCACACTTCAATCTCTCCCTTAATTTCAATTCCTTTCATTTTCTGGTAGAGACAAAGGAGACACATTTTATCCGTGGACCCAAAACTCGGGCGCCAGTCATGGACTGGGAAGGCAGCCTTCCCTTGGTGTTTAATCATTGCAGGGACACCTCTCTGACTATTCACCCACGTTTCAAAGGTGTCAGACCACGCAGGGACGCCTGCCTTGGTCCTTCACCCTTAGCGGCAAGTCCCGCTTTTCTGGAGAAGAGGGAAGTACCCCAACCCCTTCTCTCCTTGTCTCTACCCCTGTTCTGCTTTTCTGGGAGAGGGGCAAGTACTCCTCAACCCCTTCTCCTTCACCCTTAGCGGCAAGTCCCGCTTTTCTAGGGGGCAAGAACCCCCAATCCCTTATTTCCGTGCCCCAACCTCTTATCTCTGCACCCAATCCCTTATTTCCATGCCCCAACCTCTTATATCTCTGTGCCCCAATCCCTTCTTTCCGCACCCCTACCTCTTATATCTCTGCACCCCAATCCCTTATTTCCACACCCCAACTTCTTATCTCTGTGCCCCAATCCCTTATTTCAGTGTCCCAACCCATTCTCTGCTTTTCTGGAGGGCGAGAAACCCCCACCCCTTCTCCGTGTCTCTACTCTTTTCTCTAGGCTTGCCTCCTTCACTATGGGCAAGCTTCCACCTTCCATTCCTCCTCCTTCTCCCTTAGCCTGTATTCTTAAGAACTTAAAACCTCTTCAACTCTCACCTGACATAAAATCTAAGTGTCTTATTTTCTTGTGCAATGCCACTTGACCCCAATACAAACTCCACAGTAGTTCCAAATAGCCGGAAAACGGCACTTTCAATTTTTCCATCCTACAAGATCTAAATAATTCTTGTAGTAAAATAGGCAAATGGTCTGAGGTGCCTGACGTACAGGCATTCTTTTACACATCAGTCCCTTCCTAGTCTCTGTGCCCAGTGCAACTCCTCCCAAATCTTCTTTCCCTCCCGCCTGTCCCCTCGGTACCAACCCCAAGCGTCGCTGAGTCTTTCTAATCTTCCTTTTCTACAGACCCATCTGACCTCTCCCCTCCTTGCGAGGCCGAGCTAGGTCCCAATTCTTCCTCAGCCTCTGCTCCTCCACCCTGTAATCTTTTTATCACCTCCCCTCTTCACACCTGGTCTGGCTTACAGTTTCATTCCATGACTAGCCCTCCCCCACCTGCCCAGCAATTTACTCTTAAAAAGGTGGCTGGAGCCAAAGGCATAGTCAAGGTTAATGCTCCTTTTTCTTTATCCCAAATCAGAAGCGTTTAGGCTTTTTCATCAAATATAAAAACCCAGCCCAGTTCATGGCTCATTCGGCAGCAACCCTGAGACGCTTTACAGCCCTAGACCCTAAAAGATGAAAAGGCCATCTTATTCTCAATATACATTTTATTACCCAATCTGCTCCTGACATTAAATAAAACTCCAAAAATTAGAATCTGCCCCTCAAACCCCACAAGAGGACTTAATTAACTCACCTTCAAGGTGTACAATAATAGAAAAAAGCTGCAATTCCTTGCCTCCACTGTGAGACAAACCCAGCCACATCTCCAGCACACAAGAACTTCCAAATGCCTGAACCGCAGTGGCCAGGCGTTCCTCCAGAACCTCCTCCCCCAGGAGCTTGCTACAAGTGCCAGAAATCTGACCACCAGGGCAAGGAATGCCTGCAGCCCAGGATTCCTCCTAAGCCATGTCCCATCTGTGCGGGACCCCACTGGAAATCAGACTGTTCAACTCACCTGGTAGCCACTCCCAGAGCCCCTGGAACTCTGGCCCAAGGCTCTCTGACTGACTCCTCCTTGGCTTAGCGGCTGAAGACTGATGCTGCCCGATCACCTCGAAAGCCCCGTAGGCCATCACAAACGCCGAGCTTCGAGTAACTCTCACAATGGAAGGTAAGCCCATCCCCTTCTTAATCAATACGGAGGCTACCCCCTCCACATTACCTTCTTTTCAAGGGCCTGTTTCCCTTGCCTCCGTAACTGTTGTAGGTATTGACGGCCAGGCTTCTAAACCTCTTAAAACTCCCCAACTCTGGTGCCAACTTAGACAATACTCTTTTAAGCACTCCTTTTAGTTATCCCCACCTGCCCAGTTCCCTTATTAGGCGGAGACACTTTAACTAAATTATCTGCTTCCCTGACTATTCCTGGACTACAGCTGCATCTCATTGCCGCCCTTCTTCCCAACCCAAAGCCTCCTTTGCGTCCTCCTCTTGTATCCCCCCACCTTAACCCACAAGTATAAGATACCTCTACTCCCTCCTTGGCGACCGATCACGCACCCCTTACCATCTCATTAAAACCTAATCACCCTTACCCCACTCAATGTCAAGATCCCATCCCACAGCACGCTTTAAAAGGATTAAAGCCTGTTATCACTTGCCTGCTACAGCATGGCCTTTTAAAGCCTATAAACTCTCCTTACAATTCCCCCATTTTACCTGTCCTAAAACCAGACAAGCCTTACAGGTTAGTTCAGGATCTATGCCTTATCAACCAGATTGTTTTGCCTATCCACCCCATGGTGCCAAACCCATATACTCTCCTACCCTCAATACCTCCCTCTACTACCCATTATTCTGTTCTGAATCTCAAACATGCTTTACTATTCTTTGGCACCCTTCATCCCAGCCTCTCTTTGCCTTCACTTAGACTGACCCTGACACCCATTAGGCTCAGCAAATTACCTGAGCTGTACTGCCCAAGGCTTCACAGACGGCCCCCATTACTTCAGTCAAGCCCAAATTTCATCCTCATCTGTTACCTATCTCGGCATAATTCTCGTAAAAACACACGTGCTCTCCCTGCTGATCGTGTCCGACTAATCTCCGAAACCTCAATCCCTTACAAAAGAACAACTCCTTGCCTTCCTAGGCATGGTAAGTACGGTCAGAATCCTTACACAAGAGCCAGGACCGCACCCTGTAGCCTTTCTGTCCAAACAACTTGACCTTACTGTTTTAGCCTAGCCCTCATGTCTGTGTGCAGCAGCTGCTGCTGCTTTAATACTTTTAGAGGCCCTAAAAATCACAAACTATGCTCAACTCACTGTCTATATTTCTCATAACTTCCAAAATCTATTTTCTTCCTCATACCTGACGCATATACTTTCTGTTCCCCGGCTCCTTCAGCTGTACTCACTCTTTGTTAAGTCCCACAATTACCATTGTTCCTGGCCTGGACTTCAATCCGGCCTCCCACATTATTCCTGATACCACATCTGACCCCCATGACTGTATCTCTCTGATCCACCTGATATTCACCCCATTTCCTCACATTTCCTTCTTTCCTGTTCCTCACCCTGATCACTCTTGATTTACTGATGGCAGTTCCACCAGGCCTAATTGCCACACACCAGCAAAGGCAGGCTATGCTATAGTACAAGCCACTAGCCCACCTCTCAGAACCTCTCATTTCCTTTCCATCGTGGAAATCTATCCTCAAGGAAATAACTTCTCAGTGTTCCATCTGCTATTCTACTACTCCTCAGGGATTATTCAGGCCCCCTCCCTTCCCTACACTTCAAGCTCGAGGATTTGCCCCCACCCAGGACTGGCAAATTAGCTTTACTCAACATGTCCCGAGTCAGGAAACTAAAATACCTCTTGGACTAAATAGACACTTTCACTGAATAAGTAAAGGCCTTTCCTACAGGGTCTGAGAAAGCCACCACAGTCATTTCTTCCCTTCTGTCAGACATAATTCCTCAGTTTAGCCTTCCCACCTCTATACAGTCTGATAACAGACCAGCCTTTATTAGTCAAATCAGCCAAGCAGTTTTTCAGGCTCTTAGTATTCAGTGAAACCTTTATATCCCTTACGGTCCTCCATCTTCAAGAAAAGTAGAACAGACTAAAGGTCTTTTAAAAACACACCTCACCAAGCTCAGCCACCAACTTAAAAAGGACTGGACAATACTTTTACCACTTTCGCTTCTCAGAAGTCAGGCCTGTCCTCAGAATGCTACAAGGCACAGCCCACTTAAGCTCCTGTATAGACGCTCCTTTTTATTAGGTCCCAGTCTCATTCGACACCAGACCAACTTAGACTGTGCCCCAAAAAACTTGTCATCCCTACTATCTTCTGTCTAGTCATACTCCTATTCACCATTCTCAACTACTCATACATGACCTGCTCTTGTTTACACTGCCAGTTTAGACTGTTTCTCCAAGCCATCACAGCTGATATCTCCTGGTGCTATCCCCAAACCGCCACTCTAAACTCTTGAAGCAAATAAATAATCTTTGCTGGCAGGACTATGCTGAATCTCCTTAGGCACTCTCTAATTAGATGTCCTGGGTCCTCCCAATTCTTAGTGCTTTTATACCTGTTTTTCTCCTTCTCTTATTCCATTTAGTTTTTCAATTCATACAAAACTGTATCCAGGCCATCACCAATAATTCTACATGACAAAGTTTCTTCTAACAACCCCACAATATCACCCCTTACCACAAAATCTTCCTTCAGCTTAATCTCTCCCACTCTAGGTTCCCATGCCACCCCTAACCCCACTCGAAGCAGCCCTGAGAAACATCTCCCATTCTCTCTCCATACCACCCCCAAAAATTTTCGCCACCCCAACACTTCAACACTATTTTTATTTTTCTTATTAATATAAGAAGGCAGGAATGTCAGGCCTCTGAGCCAAGCCAAGCCATCGCATCCCCTGTGACTTGCACATATACGCCCAGATGGCCTGAAGTAACTGAAGAATCACAAAAGAAGTGAATATGCCCTGCCCCACCTTAACTGATGACATTCCACCACAAAAGAAGTGTAAATGGCCGGTCCTTGCCTTAAGTAATGACATTACCTTGTGAAAGTCCTTTTCTTGGCTCATCCTGGCTCAAAAAGCACCCCCACTGAGCATCTTGGGACCCCCACTCCTGCCCACCAGAGAACAAACCCTCTTTGACTGTAATTTTCCTTTACCTACCCAAATCCTACAAAACGGCCCCACCCTTATCTCCCTTCGCTGACTCTCTTTTCGGACTCAGCCCACCTGCACCCAAGTGATTAAAAGCTATATTGCTCACACAAAGCCTGTTTGGTGGTCTCTTCACACGGATGCGCATGAAAGCTACAATCGTGGTTTTTGGCTATGTATTCATTTTTCTCCTACCATTTAGCTATTAAAGTTTCATTGCTATAATTTCAAAGGCATTGAGTTTGGAAATATTAATATGAATATAAAATTACAGCAAAGCTAATGTAAAATAATTTTACTTAATGTGAACTAAAAGAGTAATGTTTCTTTGGTAATTTAAAGGATAAGAGTTCCGTATTTTTTTTTTTAGGATTTAAGTCTTTATATAAATTTATTTATATAATTTGCTGTATTCTTCTAGGTATTATTTTTCCTCTGCAAGCAGTGAGAAACTTTTTTTAAAAAATGTACTGCAGATTTCATATTTATGAATTCAGAAGTGAAACTAAACTATGATAATGAGAAATCAGAATTTAGTTTACAGAGATATTCACTCAAATGTTTATTAATGTTATCTTACAAAATTATTTTAAATTATTTTATATTTTCAGCCCACTATTGAGAACTGCTGCTCATAAAAAAAAAAAAAAAAAACTCCTTTCAAAATATTACTATTTGTTGGCTGAACATGGTGGCTCACACCTGTAATCCCAGCACTTTGGGAGGCCAAGCTGGAGGATCACTTGAGGTCAGGAATTTGAGACCAGCCTGGCCATCATGGCAAAACCCCATCTCTACTAAAAATGCAAAAATTAGCTGGGCATGGTGAAGTGTCCCAACTACTTGGGAGACTGTGGCAGGAGAATTGCTTGAACCCAGGAGGCAGAGGTTGCAGTGAGCCAAGATGGCACCCTGCACTCCAGCCTGTGTGACAGAGCGAGACTTTGTCTTAAATAAACATACATATATATAATATAAATATATATATATAATAAATATATATATATATAAAATAACTATTCACTGACAATGTATTATTCCATTATCCCAAGACATACTTGGAGATATTGCAGGTTCAGTTCCAGAACAGTGGTATAAAGTGACTATTGCAATAAAGCAAGTCATGGAAATGTTTTGGTTTCCCAGTGCAGATACTATAGTCCATTAAGTGTGCAGTAGCATTATATCTAAAAACATAATATGCCTATCGTATTTTAAAAATACCTTTTAATTAAAATATGCTAGTGATCATCTGAGCCTTCAGCAAGTCATAGTCTTTGCTGGTGGAGAATCTTGCCTCTATTTAAATGGCTGCTGACTAACTGATCAGGGTTGTGGTGGCTGAAGATGGGGCTGGCTGTAGCAATTTCTTAAAATAAGACAACAATGAAGTTTGCTGCATTGATTGACTATTTCTTTCATGTAAGATTTCTTTGTATCAATCCTCTCAAACCCTGCTGCTGCTTTATCCACTAAGTTTGTGGAATATTCTAAATATCCTTTGTTGTCATGTCAACAATGTATACAGCATTTTCACCAGGAGTAGATTCCATCTCAAGAAATCACTTTCTTTGATCACATATACCAAGCAACTTCTCATCTGTTAAAGTTTTAAAGTGAGATGGCAACAATTCAGTCACATCTTTAGGCTCCACTTCATATTTCTAGTTTTCTTGCTATTTACCACATCTGCAGTCACTTCCTCCACTGAAGTCTTGAATCCCTCAGTCATTCATGAGGTTTGGAAACAATTTCTACCAAACATGTTAATGTTGATATTTGGACCTCTTTTCATGAATCACAAATATTCTTAATGACATCTAGAATGGTGAATCTTTTCCAGATGATTTTCTATTTACTTTGCACAGATCCATCAGAGGAATCACTATCTATGGAAGCTATAGCCTAACAAAATGTATTTCTTAAATAATAAGACTTGAAAATCAAAATTACTTTTTAGCCATTGGCCACAGAAAGGATGTTAGCAGGCCTGAAAACAACAGTAATCTCCTTGTACATCGCCATCAGCGCTCTTGTGTAACCACGTGCCTTGCTAACCAGTAGTAATATTTATAAGGAATCTTTTTTTTTCTGAGAAATAGATCTCAATAGTAGGCATTCAATATTCAGCAAACCGTGCTGTAAACAGCTGGGATGTCATACAGATTTTGTTGTTCCACTTATAAAGCACAGGCAAAGTCGATTTAGTATAATTCCTAAGGGTTTTAGGATTATCAAAATGGTAAATGAACATTGGCTTAAAGTCGCCAGCTGCATTTGTTTCTAACAAGAGCATCAGCTTGTCTTTGAAGCTTTGAAGCCAGAGATCGACTTCTCCTCTCTTGATACGAAAATCCTAGAAGGCACCTTCTTCCAATAGACATCAGTTTTGTATACACTGAAAATTTGTTTTGCTTAGTGTAGCCACCTTCATTAGGTATCCTAGCTAAATCTTCTACATAAATTGCTGCATCTTCTACATCAACACCTACTGCTTCACTTTGTACTTTCATCTTACAGAGATGACTTCTCTCCTTCAATCTCATAAAACAACGTCTGCTAGCTTCCAACTTTTCTTGTGCAGTTTTGTGATCTCTTTCAGCCTTCGTAGAATTGAAGAGGTAAGATTCAATTAGGTTTTGCATTAGGTTGCTCTTCTCTAGATTAGGTTTTGGTTTAAGGGAATGTTGTGGCTGTTTGATCTTCCATTCAAACCACTAAGTATTTCTCCATATCAGCAATATGGCTGTTTCACTTTTTTTTTTTTTTTTTTTTTTGAGACGAAGTTTCGCTCTTATTGCCCAGGCTGGAGCACAATGGCTAATCTTGGCTCACTGCAGCCTTTGCCTCCCGGGTTCAAGCGATTTCTCCTGCCTCAGCCTCCTGGGTAGCTGGGATTACAGGAGCCCACCACCATGCCTGGCTAATTTTTGTATGTTTGTAGAGGTGGAGTTTCACCATGTTGTCCAGGCTGGTCTTGAACTCCTGACCTCAGGTGATCCACCTGCCTTGGCCACCCAAAGTGCTGGGATTATAGGCGTGAGCCACTGTGCCCAGCCCCCACTTTTTTTGTTTTGTTTTGTTTTAAGACAGAGTCTTGCTTTGTCGCCCAGGCTGGAGTGCAGTGGCACAATCTCAGCTCACTGCAACCTCTGCCTCTCTGGTTAAAGTGATTCTCATGCCACCATGCTTGGCTAATTTTTGTATATTTAGTAGAGATGGGGTTTCACTATGTTGGCCAGACTGGTTACGAACTCCCACCCTCAAATGATCCGCCCATCTCGGCCTTCCAAAGTGCTAGGATTACAGGCGTGAGCCACCATGCCTGGCCTAGAGTAGCACTTTTAATTTCCTTCAATACTTTTTATTTGCCTTTACAAGTTGGCTAACTGGTACAAGAGTCCCAGTTTTCGGTATATCTTGGCTTTTGACATGCCTTCCTCACTAAGCTTGATAATTTAAACTTTTGATTTAAAGTGCTAGATGTGAGATTATTCCTGTCACTTGACCATTCAGAGGCCATTGTAGGGTTATTAGCCGACCTAATTTTAATATTGTTGTGTCTCAGGTAATAGTGAGTCCTGAGGAGACAGAAAGACAGTGGAACGGCCAGTCAGTAGAGCAGTCAGTACCCACATAACATTTATCAATTAAATTCACCATCTTATGTAGCTCCCCAAAAATATTATCTTAGTGACATCAAAGATCACTGATCACTATAACAGATATAACAATAATGGACAGATTAGAAATACTGTGAGAATTACCAAAATGTGACACAAAGACATGAAGTGAGCACATGCTGTTGGAAAAATGGTGCTAAGAGACTTTCTGGACACAGGGTTGCCACAAACCTTCAAATTGTAAAACATGCAGCATCTGCAAAATACAATAAGTGAAGCATAATAAAATGAGACATGTCTGTACTATGGGCTATTTGTATATCTTTTGGTCTGAGATCTGTGTTCAACTTTTCATACATTTTTATTTGGTGGTGTCTTTTTAGAGTTGTAAGAGTTCATTATATATTCTAAATATAAATGATCTCTCTCTCAAACACACACACACACACACACACACACACATCTAATATCTTCTCCAAATCCATGCCATCATTTTCTAAAACCAGTCTTCTGAAGAACGTAAGTTTTAATTTGATAAAGTCCTACTTAACCAATTTCTAATATGCTCAAAGATTTCCTTTCCTTTCTAAGATAATTTTGCCTACTCCAGTCATGAGGATAGTCTTTTATATTTTCTTCCAAAATTTTCTAGGTTAAGATGTAATATTTAGGTCTATAAAACATCACAAAATAATGTTTGTGTATGGTCTAAGGTAGGTTTTTCAAGGTTTATTCAATATTTTTCATGTAATATCTACTTATTCTAACACTATTTCTTTCTTTTTTTTTTTAACTGAAAGCATGTTTATTGAGAAAGTAAAGAAATAAAAGAATGGCTACTCCATAGGCAGAGCAGCCTCCAGCACTATTTCTCATTGAATTTTTCCTATTGAATTTTTCAGGTGCCCTTGTCAAACACAAATTGGTGATTCTGTTTCTAGGCTCTCTACTCCCTCCACTGTTGTATTTGTCTATCCTCACATTAATATTACCCTGCTTGAATTCCTGTATTGCTAATAGTACTAAAATCAGATGTTGTTATTCTTCCAGTTTTGCCTTATTTTTCAATGTGGATTTAGCTATTCTAGGACCTTTGCATTTTTATATAAATTAAGAATCACCTGGACATTTCTACAGTTGAGTTGGATGTGGTTTTGACTGGTATCGCATTGATTCTATTGACCAATTTGTGAAGAATGAATGAGATAACAATATTGAGTTCTCCAATTCAGAAACATAGACTACCTCTCCATTTATCTAGGTCTTTTAAACTGCTTTCAGTAATGTTTCTAATTTTAGTGTGGGAATTTTGTGTATCATATGTTACACATGTCCTTTTATTCTATTATAAACATTATTTTTCATTTTTATTTTCAAGTATTTATTATTTATATATGGAAATACAACTGATATTGAATTTCTATACTGAGATCTTGCTTATTTCAGTTATTAGTTTTAGTTTTTTTGTATTGTAGATTTCATGGATTTTAAATAATCATACAATCTGGGAATAAGTACGATAAGTTCTCTACTTTTTCTTTATACTATATGCTTTTTGTTTATTTTTCTTGCTTTATGGTACTAAGACATCTTTCAAATGTAAATAATTTTAGTAAGAGTGTATATCTTTAAAGTACACCAGAAAATTATCCTAGAAAGTTGTAGTAAGGATTCGTGATACCCTTTCCCCTGTGGCTATTATTTATTCTTTGTTTTTTATTCTTTTTCTCCCCACTAGCTTCTAAAGCTCCCCAGTCAGCTGTTCCCTAATTTCTTTTAAATTGTTTAGAATGACAGTGCATACAGCTATCTCATACATAACTAGGTTAACTCTTCAAATTAATGGCAATGAATTCCTTTATTTATTCATCTGTCTAGAAATAAAACTTACTTTAGCTGATTGACAACATTTGTAAATGCAATGTAAAAGTCTGAGTAAGGAATAGTACCACATTCATATGTGCAGCTGACTTTGAGTAATGAATATACTATATTTTGGATGCTTAGTAATATGATTTGAGAATGCCAGTGGTTACTCCAAGGTTGTCATCCCTGTTCTAATATTCTTCACAGAGACCTGCTTTTGGTAGAAAAGAGCTGATGTTGGTTACCAACAAAAAAAAAAATAAGTAAAAATATAAAGTATCCAGAGTTCAGAAAATCATTGAGAAAATTTAACTTTCCTTTGGACACCTTGATCCATGAGTTTGCCTATGCATTTTTAAACTCAGAGTATTTCTAAAAGCCTGTTTCTGCTTAGAAATATGAAAGAAAACATTTTCCATACCTTTTTATAATTTAAGTTAGAAACATTAAAAACAGACACTTTAAAATCTTAACCACCTATAGTAACAATGATGAAAAATTCCTTGGAATTTTCATCACAACAAAAGTCAGAGAAGTCCATCAGCCTTTGCTCACCTCCTCATCACCTATAGCCTCTGAAATGCCCTTTGGCCAAGGCTTCATCACCCTTCGAAGTCTAGTTGTCTAGTTGTTTCTGCATTCAGTTTGAACACTGGACTCTTTGCTGAGGCCAAGAACTAGGGGGTCAAAGGTTGAGCATCTCTGAGCACATCAGGCATCATCTTTATTCTTCTACTTAATACTATGTACTTAATACACAAGTTACTTCTACAAAAGTTCTTTCATGAGGAAGATACAGTTTCTAAAACTCTATGTGTAATTCAACACTAGCTTTTTTTAAAATGGAGATAAAACTATTTAATATTTAAATGTTAGACATAGATCTTAAAAGCTGACAAAAATAGATGGCATATGTCTATGAAAAAATTAATAGAAACTAAGTTTTAAATATTTATATTAATATGAACATAGAATAAACAAAATATAAAGATAAAAAAACTCCTTAATACTAAGATATATATATGAATAAAAAAAGTCTTAAAACACTAAGTCATGCAGGCCAGATATACAATTATTTTTAAGTATTTTACATGTATAGTAACAGTGATTGTGGTTTTAATATTATCATATTATATTTACAGCTGTGGGTTAGGCCTCTAGCAGGTGAGCTATGACTAAATGTAAATGACTACCAATAGCCTTTGTAACTGGCAGCAGTTATTTCTTTGAAAATGTATAAAGGACATGATTTAAAAGCTAACATATGGATGATATTATACTCTGTATGATGAACAAATTTGTCATTCAACAGTCACATTATCAGCCTGATCTCTTCATCCCCCATTCTCCTTCTTCCATCTTGAGGCCCTAGCCTCAGAACCATGACAATTATCTCTAATACTCACGAAATGATCCGGGTGTGTGGTTTACCTGGCTTCCAATTCCCTCAATCATTCATCCATAGACCTTTAGATTTTTCTTCCAAAAATATTTTATAGCATGTCAGTTAGATGTATTATTTGGGAATGATAAATTGTGAAAGTTAAATGAAGTGTGAAATGTTCTGCTTTGGGATCCATATCATACATAGATCAAAAAGAACTTTGTTCCAAGGCTTTGTCGTGTAAAGCGCTCCAAAATTAAAATAATTTTCTCAGAAGGCTGTGCATATTTTAAGTCCCTTCTCCTTCACTAAATACTTCACCCAGACATATCTAGTTATGATAATGTCAGAGATTGATGAGATCAGCGTATGAGACCAGGTACCTTGGGCCCATTATTTTTGTTATCAGGGTCCATTTTCCCTTAAGACCCCACTCACTTATTATCGTGCACCATGCACACATACACTTAGCTCCGGGTATTTGAGTATATGGTTATCGTGCTGCTTGCATGATGAGACAAAATTGATTCATACAGGACGTGTCATCATCCTATGTTTTAGACCAAATTACATTACAAGAAAATAGATCTCTAACTGTGAATTACGTTTATATGCACAATATGATTTGTCAGAATTTATGTAGGATAGAGATAGACAGGAGTACTTGGGATAGTAAATATTTTTGTCAGTAGAGGATTGAAAGAGTCAATAATTTTGTCTGATTTATTAGACTTGGGGAAATAAGATGCTTGCTCACAGGCTGGATTAAAAATGGAGTCAAAACTGTCTTGAGCCATGAGGTATCCTTGGAACTAGATACCTCCTACACAGTGGAACAACAAAATAGAAAAATCCTGGCTTCCTCAAACAGTGGACATCATGCTGTGCTTGCTGGAGAAAAAGAAAGGAGTCTAGCAGAAAGCTTCAGAAGAAAATCTGAGGTTAGTCTCTCATCTCAAGGCTCAACTTTGACCTCATTGATTTTAGGTTCTTTAATAAGAAGTTCCCAAAATATTTAAAAGAGTTTACAAAGTGAATCTCAAGGAATGGCCAAGATGGCCAACTAGAAGCAGCAAGTATGCATGGCGCTCACAAAGAGGAGCAGAAGAGACAAGTAAATACAGTAACTTCAACAGAAACATCAAGGTACTCACATTGGGATTAATCAAGGAAACAACTTGACCCACAGAGAATGAAGAAAAGCAAAGACAGAACAACTGCCCACCCGGGAGCAACAAGCAGCTAGGGGATTCTCCCCTGCCCAGGGAAGTGATGAGTGAATGAGCAACCCCAGGAAACAATGCTTCTCCAACAGAACTTGGCAACCCTTAGGTCAGGAGATCTCCTTGTGAACCCACTCCTCCAGGGCCTTCAATCTTCAGTCTGACAGACAGCTATGTGGAGTCTCGGCAGAGCAGCCCCTCGGGCATGCATAGAGACCCTGGAGACTTAGATATTCGGGCTTTCCAGCAAAAGCAGCTGCAGCTCCAGCAAAGTGAGAGGTTATACTCCCATACATAACACTCGGAAAGAGGCTGAATTAAAGGAACTGAGCAGCAACAGCCTGCGGGCCCCACTTCCATGACTCCTCACCAGGGAAGACCCACTGGCGTAGAATTCCAGCCAGCTACCAGTAGTGGCATTGCATCTTCCTAAGAAGGAGCTCCCAGAGCGGGAAGTCTCGGCTACCATATTTGCTGTTTGGGTTCCTTAGCTGTTCTAGCCTTCAGGCTTTGGAGAGTCTAAGCCAACCCAGGGTGGAAAGGATCCCCCAGTATAGCATAGCTGCTCAACCAAAACTTGACTTTAAGCAGGTGCCTGATCTCTTTCCTTTTCACTGGGCAGGACCTCCAAACCGGGACCTCTGCCTGAGCTACCCAGCCGACAGAGATCTGAAATCCCCTGGGACAAGCTCCCAGAGGGAAGAGTTGGCTGCCATCTTTGCAGTTTGGGTAACTCAGTTGTGCCAGCCTTTTGGCTTTGGAGTGTATGAGACAATCAGGGGCTGAAGTGGACCCAGCACAGCACAGGTGCTCTCCCAAAATTTGAGCAGACTGCTTTTTAAAGTGGTTCTGGATTCCATTTCTCCTCACTGGGCAGGGCCTCCCAACCGGGGTCCCCAGCCACTTCCTTTTATTTTTAAAAAATAAATTAAAAAAAAAGAAAAAGAAAAAAAATCAAGCCAATTAATAATAATAGAAAAATTGGAAACTTACATTAAAAATTCACATTTCCCAAGTTTGTCAAAGATCAGATAGTTGTAGATATGCGGCGTTATTTCTGAGGGCTCTGTTCTGTTCCATTGATCTATATCTCTGTTTTAGTACCAGTACCATGCTGTTTTGGTTACTGTAGCCTTGTAGTATAGTTTGAAGTCAGGTAGCATGATGCCTCCAGCTTTGTTCCTTTGGCTTAGGATTGACTTGACGATGCGGGCTCTTTTTTGGTTCCATATGAACTTTAAAGTAGTTTTTTCCAATTCTGTGAAGAAAGTCATTGGTAGCTTGATGGGGCATTGAATCTGTAAATTACCTTGGGCAGTATGGCCATTTTCACGATATTGATTCTTCCCACCCATGAGCATGGAATGTTCTTCCATTTGTTTGTATCCTCTTTTATTTCATTGAGCAGTTTGTAGTTTCCTTCTCCTGCCTAATTGCCCTGGCCAGAACTTCTCTTTGTAGTTTTCCTTCTCCTCCCTAATTGCCCTGGCCAGAACTTCTCTTTGTAGTTTTCCTTCTCCTGCCTAATTGCCCTGGCCAGAACTTCCAACACTATGTTGAATAGGAGTGGTGAGATGGGGAAAGGATTCCCTATTTAATAAATGGTGCTGGGAAAACTGGCTAGCCATATGTAGAAAGCTGAAACTGGATCCCTTCCTTACACCTTGTACAAAAATTAATTCAAGATGGATTAAAGACTTAAACATTAGACCTAAAACCATAAAAACCCTAGAAGAAAACCTAGGCATTACCATTCAGGACATAGGCATGGGCAAGGACTTCATGTCTAAAACACCAAAAACAATGGCAACAAAAGCCAAAATTGACAAATGCGATCTAATTAAACTAAAGAGCTTCTGCACAGCAAAAGAAACTACCATCAGAGTGAACAGGCAACCTATAGAATGGGAGAAAATTTTCGCAACCTACTCATCTGACAAAGGGCTATCCAGAATCTACAATGAACTCAAACAAATTTACAAGAAAAAAACAAACAACCCCATCAAAAAGTGGGTGAAGGATATGAACAGACACTTCTCAAAAGAAGACATTTATGCAGCCAAAAGACACATGAAAAGATGCTCATCATCACTGGCCATCAGAGAAATGCAAATCAAAACCACAATGAGATACCATCTTACACCAGTTAGAATGGCAATCATTAAAAGTCAGGAAACAACAGGTGCTGGAGAGGATGTGGAGAAATAGGAACACTTTTACACTGTTGGTGGGACTGTAAACTAGTTCAACCATTGTGGAAGTCAGTGTGGCGATTCCTCAGGGATCTAGAACTAGAAATACCATTTGACCCAGCCATCCCATGACTGGGTATATACCCAAAGGACTATAAATCATGCTGCTATAAAGACACATGCACACGTATGTTTATTGCGGCACTATTCACAAGAGCAAAGACTTGGAACCAACCCAAATGTCCAACAATGATAGACTGGATTAAGAAAATGTGGCACATATACACCATGGAATACTATGCAGCCATAAAAAATGATGAGTTCATGTCCTTTGTAGGGACATGGATGAAATTGGAAATCATCATTCTCAGTAAACTATCGCAAGGACAAAAAACCAAACACCACATGTTCTCATTCATAGATGGGAATTGAACAATGAGAACACATGGACACAGGAAGGGGAACATCACACTCTGGGGACTGTTGTGGGGTGAGGGTAGGGGGGAGGGATAGCATTAGGAGATATACCTAATGCTAAATGATGAGTTAATGGGTGCAGCACACCAGCATGGCACATGTATACATATGTAACTAACCTGCACATTGTGCACATGTACCCTAAAACTTAAAGTATAATACTAAAAAAAAAATTCACATTTCCAGTTTTTCTTCATAACTTAGATCCAATAACAGAAGCCCACGTTGCTGCTTTGGAGTGAATGCTTTGCTGGATGGGAAATTAATCATAAGGCTGAATCAGGGATTATAAATCCCTTATATCATAAAGCTGAAGCAGGGATTAAATGAAAAAGGAAAAAAATTAAATATCATTGTTGCAGGACTTTTCCTTAGTTCAGCTAAAAACAGGGTCCTTGTCCCACAGCCACAAAAATTTAGGCTTGCAGACAATTTGAAGGGTGAGTAAAGCAGGGTTTTATTGGGTGAAAATGAAAAAAAGAGGGAACAGTGACTCTCCAGAAGGCCAGAGTCCCTGCTGGTGCACTTCCCATCTTGCAGCTTGAATCCCAGTTTCCACAGGAAGAGAAGGGGCCAATCTCCTCCCCGCTACAATGGCGTGAACTTCTGTGTCTCCACCAGGTGTGCAAGTCAGGTGGAGTTTTTCTGAGGACCCCTGGCCACCTGTCTGTCTCATTGCCCCCTCTAAAGAAGTGCATCTAACTGCCCTTAGAATAAGGAAAAGGATAAGGATGAAGACGGGTCTTAACTGCATCCTACTGACTGTTTTGGGGAACTGCAGTCAGAGCTCCCTCAGAGGCTTATCTAAGGATGCCTGACAGAAGGGGCTGTAGTCAGAGGCTCTGGTTGCATGACCTGAGTTTGATGGCCTGAAGTCAAAAAACGACAAACCGGGTTATTAGAAAACATCTATGAAAATGAAACAAGGGGAAGGGTAAGGACAGCTCAAACATCCTGAGTTCTTTTACTAGTTTGCAGAGATAGCGGGAAGCCAAAAGCCCCACTGGTTAAAAAAAAAAAAAAAAACTTTATCCTCTTGCCAGCATGTTAGGCTTCTGGGTTCCCTTCCCCTGGGACCAATCTTAAGCCAATCAGTTTAAGGTTTGGGAAATTAACTCTTTCCAGTTTAGAGGATGTATCTGAGGAGAGTGTTCCATAGTACAGAGACACAATTACCTATCTGTGAAGAGAGGACAGAGGAGGAGAAAGGAAAAAAGAAGGCATTTTTCAAAGGAATCCCAGGGGCTCAGGATGCATTTGAGAGAGATACAGACTGAAGATGAATGACAACCCATCTAGAAAGAGAGGAGCGGGTATCCCTGGTTCCCTTCTCTTCCTAGCAGATACCCGGGGTACATGAGGGAGAGAGGGAAGAGCATCCTCTTTCCCTCCTCCATTCTTGCATCTCCAAATCCTGGTGACCTTGGCAGGTGCCGCCACGGGTTGCAAAGCAGCTTGCACCCATGAATCAGGGAGGGCCTAAAGAATAGGAATTGTCTGCTCTCACCTATGTATTTTTCCCTCCTACTATCAGTAACCTTGGATTACCTAGATCTCATTTATGCCATGGATACTAATGTGGCCTTTATCTATGAAACAGGAAGCTTGGGCTTGGCTTAATCTGCAGGAATCAGCCACATTCACCTATGCTGTGCCTTTTAACTTCCATTATTGTCTGCCTCTGGATCTCTTATATCTAGTTTTCTTTCCTAGGGCTTTGACCCAAAGCTTAGAATTGAGTTTGGGACAAATGTGTCTGTGGGATGTTGCATGGACTCCTTATCATAATCTGAATGCTAAGGTGAAACTATGGAACTGAGTCTCCCTCCAACAAGCAAGAGAGAAGGATGTCTTATGACACACCCAGATAACTGGTGGCTATAGTTATGCTTGCTAGGATTTGGGTGCATGGTGCTTGGCTTTGGTTAGCACCCTTGGTCTTACCTTCCCAAAAAGAAAACCTCTGAGTGATGGACATCTTTCTTATTTCTATCACCTGGCAGGATTTGCAGGATAATTGCTCAGAATTAGAATATTGATCCAGATTTTTACATTACCCATCTCTCTTGTTCCTTTTAAGCTGCAGGCAGAGATTGCTGGTTAGTTCATAGGAATAAGTAGGGTTAGTTTAAAAGTGTAAGCAAAAACTTAAAAATAACTAATGAGTTTAGAACATAATGACCAATGTGTAAGTTTTGAAATATAATTTCTCTCTCTCCAGTCTTCATTTTTGTTAAAAAACAAATAATCATAGGACTAAGTTGTTTGCAAAATAGACTTTAGTTTTATACTTGGCATGATTATTTGCATAAAGTGCAGCAAGAACAACTATTTCTACATAGGCCTTTTGGATTGCCTTTGATGGAACTCTGTTTCCTCAAGGAATCTCAGATAAGACCTTTTAAATCCAAGCCCAGGCATGGGTTTGTATCCTCAAATACCTGTGTCTTGGGTGATTCTCTCCTCTTAAGGTCCCAAGATAAACGTGGAGCTCATAGGCTCCACTCAATGTTACAGAATGACATTCTTTACTGACCACAGGTCAGGAACACTGCACAGGGACTATGTAGGCAAGGGTATGAGGCCAGGTTCCCCACTGGACTTCTATCAGCTCTGCAAGTCAAGATTGACTCTTTAAAGGGAAGCATACACTTCCAGTCAAAGCCTTGGTAAAGCTACCAGTTTTTCCAATTGTGTCCTCTTGCGAAAGAAAATGTATTCTTATTGCACTGATGCAAACAACCATGTTGCCGTAAGTTAAAAATACTCACAGATAGTTTCCCAATTCTAGAGGAACCAGGCAGAGAGAAACAAACATATTCCAAATCTTGATCACAAAAATATACCTTACTCAATTAGTAAAGGCTATAAATAGTTCAAAATAAGTTTCCTTGACTCTGAAAAGCAAAACAAGGATCAGCAATATTCTAAGCAAAAATCAAAAACATTGCTTCAGTTTCCTGAGTTCAGTCCATTTAGTTCTTGTACATTTTCCTTTATTCTAATGTTATAATCTCCAAAGTTATCAGAAGCCTGTATTTGAGAGCACCTGCTAAAGCTCTATAGCTTATTATAAACTATCTTTTGAAAAGGATTAAAACAGGACAATTGTCTGTGAATAACAAAAAATCCAGGGAAGTTACAGTTAGAAACACAATTGACAAAGAAGTTTGGTTATCTCCATAGCTTACAATAACTTAACAACCTTAAATATGCTAAGTATAGCATATACTTAGACATTAGAACTTTAGAAATCCCACACAATTTTGGAACATACATTAGCATTATTCATAAAACATAACATAAAGAAGATTGAACATCATTTTGGCAATCCCATGTACCTAAATATGTCAAATAATCTTGCTTGCCTCTCTTTTCTGGATGTTTCAGGGGCCCTCTAAGTATCCAAAAAGCCAGGTGTCAGGAAAGACAATTTCAAAACCGAAGTTTGATTTTGGGAAGACTGTAAAATACGTTTGAGGTTTAAAACACTTGATATTATAAAACAGAATTCTAAATTACCATAAGTTACTTATTTTGCCAAAATGATGACTCGGAAATTTTAAAGAAACAAAAATCTTTTATAACCCTTTGTAAATTTTGCCAAAGAATAGTGCCTTAAGAAAACCTTGTTGTGCTTTCATTTTAATGATCAATTTACAGAAAAACCATATAGTACCGTTTTTGAATTTAGTCAGTATGTTCACACAGAGAACCTCTTCTGCAAGATTTATTTCCACAATCCTTCCACCACTTGTTGGAACCTTCAGCTTTATCCTATCTAATTCAAAACAATCCTTTAACTCTAGGCAAAAATTTACATTTCCATGTCTTTTTATAACTTTTCACAAAAAAAACCACATTGTGCTCTTCTTACACATCTTGCATGTAAATCTGTTTCCAGTAGTCTCAATTACATGTTATAATGGTAACTCCTGGCAATTTTTAACTTTAATGTATGACCTGGTAGGTTGTTTTAATTGTGTGCTAGGTTCATAATTAAAGGTGTGGTTAATTCCTTATGTCCCTAAGCATTACCAATTGTAAAGGCAGCAAGTCAAATAGTTCTCAAAACCCAGAAAGTAGTTTATAACCGTAAAATATTTAGCAAACCTTGCATCTGTCCTGCATAGTTTAGTTCACCTGTTTACATTTTAATGACACCTGCATTTTACCAATAATCTTTAAGGCTGTTTTGATTTCTCAAAGATTAAAGTCACATGAAATAAAAGGTACCACAGCTTTTATCTTCCCTTTAAAAAAATATTTGATCCAAGCACTTGTCTTTCGTAGGCCAAATTAATTAGAGCTCTTTTTACAGACTTCACACACATCACAGACACAGGAAGGAGAAAGCCCAGGTCCCACAAGATTCTTTTTCATGACCAACACTTTACAGAGAATATAAAGTGATAGTTGGGGGGCCTGGCCTAGTAAAGTCTTCTAAAAGGGGGAAAAAAAAAACCTATAAAAGTTAACTGCTGATGGGGTGGAGAAGAGGAAAGAAAAGAAACGGTTTTAAAATACCCGGGGAGGAACCTCTTACTCTAATGCAAGTTGTTCCTCCACCAGGGAGACAAGTTTAATTGCTGTGGGATGGAGCTGGCCCCAGGACGGGGAGACTCCCGCCAAGCAACCACCCACGGTGCCTCAGCCATGTGTCCCAGCTCTGGCAGGGATGGGTGGGGGCGGGGGGGTGGCGGTGGGGAGTGGTGGAGGGGAGCCAATGCTTGCTGGTCTGTTCCAAAAAAGGAAGGAAAGGCCATGGAGACTCAGGCCGACTTCTCTGACCCCTGGGAGTGACTGAGATGGGGGCATGGTTTCCCCTACCTTCAGAAATACTAGTATGAAAAAGCTTAGAAGCGACAGTGAGAGGTTTTGAGTTCCCATTTCACTCACCACTTCTCAAGTCCTATGCTGTGTGCCAAAAATGTTGCAGGACATTTCCTTAGTTCACCAAAAGACGGAGTCTTTGTCTCAGAGCCATGAAAAGTTAGGATTGTAGATGACCTGAAGGGTGAGTAAGGCAGGGTTTTATTCGGTAAAAAGGGAAAAAAGGGGTAACAGGGACTCTTCCCAACGCCAGAGATCCTGCTAGTGAGCTTCCCTCCTTGCAGCTTGAATTTCCGGTTCCACCCAGGAAAAGGAGGGGCCAGTCTCCTCTCCATTGCAAACAGGTGTGAACTTCTGTGCCTCCAACCCAGTGTGCAGGCCAGCTGGAGTTTTGCCAGGGAGCCCTTCCCATCTGTCTGTCTCACCATTACAATGGTACACAGTAAAAAATAGCTATAATTATTGTAAAGCCATAAGGATAAACAGAGTGCTTCTTTCAAAGAATAAATAAATGAGTCCACTTCTACCCTTAACCACCGCCAACTACTGCCCCCACCCCACCCCTGCCAAAATAAAGGTTGACAATAAGAGCAGAAGAATAAGTGAGATTAAAGGTAGATTAATCTTTTTATAGTCAGTGCTATATTGTGATTGGATATGAACAATTATGTCATGGAATTTTTCTGTGACTTCTATAAAATTACATAGCTGCAGAAGATGATTTCTAAGGTTTCTCTCACACTTTAAAATTTAAATTCTGTCTTCCTCTCTGAGGATATAACATGAAGTGTTAGATAAAGGAATAGATCATTATTCTTAAGATTAGATATAAAAGAGCAAGAAGAGAAAAAGTATTAAATTATTTCACTGAAATATATATGTATAAATTTTTATTTTAATTCTATTTATATATGTAAATAAAAATGAACAAGCTAAGCTATTGGAATGATTCATTTTATTTGCATCTTACCAGAATGTGAATTCCATTTAGCTCAGTAAAAATGACATACATTGCCCTCATAATTAGAAAAAGCCTGGATGACAGTAGCAATGGATATAGGCTTTTATTTCCT
The DNA here is from genome assembly GCF_000001405.40 of Homo sapiens. Classification (NCBI taxonomy): domain Eukaryota; kingdom Metazoa; phylum Chordata; class Mammalia; order Primates; family Hominidae; genus Homo; species Homo sapiens. Next base: position 187,653,961 of record NC_000002.12, on the reverse strand, counting down.
GTTAGGACTCACTTGGTCTGTCATCTTGCTTCTCTCTGTGTGTTGGTTTTCAGACTGGGGACAGGGCCACAAACAACTTTATACTAACATGCTGAAAATCCCCTTGACAGATAATAAAGGAACTCTTATTACCATCTATAGCATGAAAAAATCATGATTGAACTTGTGTTTAAGCAAGGTTCTTTATAGTCAATTGTCTGTTACCAGGGGAAAATTGCATTAATGGTGATTCAGGGAGTCATTGAGAATCTCTCTCATTACATGTTCATGGTATTTGAACTAAATGTCTTTAGTAAAAGCCAGAAAGGTAAATTAGTAGCATGTCCATGAACTTTACTATGTAAATTGGGACACTAGTGAGAATGAAAATGTTGGTATTTGAGAATGAAATGTTGTGACAAGGGTAAGACAGGATGGCACTAGGCCAGCAGGGATATATGGTCACCTTATATGTGACTGAAAGAGGGTGATAATGGTTGTGGAGAAGCAGAAAAACATTTTCCATGGAAAAGGACATTCCCACCAATGCAGCAAGGTAGGCTGCTTCTTAGATCTAATTTGTCAAGAAAAACTGAAAAGATGATTTTTTTATATGTAAGTTTCCAATTTCCATTTGCTCTGTGAGTTAATTTGGGCAAGGAAAATATTCAGATTATTATTTAATGTAAGTTATTCTAATGAAAACTTTGACATAATTATAGTCCATATTACCAAAAATCATTTCCTATAGGTAGTTTAGCCTATTGGGGATAGTTTCATAAGGGAGTTAAGAAGTGAGTGCATTTTAGAACAAAGAAATAAGTGCTCTAGGTCTTTTCAGTCAGAGTTCACAGTCTCATTTGGGTTATAAAAAATGGGGTTATGTCTAATCATTAAATGGCCAAGCTACTTCCAATTATGAAAGCCTAGTATACCTTATGTTTCTTGTCCTCTAGGTAAGAAAATATTCTTCATATGGCATAAGTCTGGATTATGAGCATGCTACAGATTGAGTTTTCTGGGAAAGAGATTCTGAGGTATTGGTTTGTGTGGTGGATGTTGTTTTTCAGGGAGCAGCATCTATAAAATAGCAAAGAAGGAGTCCAGATGGTTCAGAGGGAGAAGCTGAGCTGTGTTGCAGATCCCAGTCTCACTTAACCCAGTGGGAGAGATCTGAAGCTGAAATGGCCATCAGTGTTGTCTGGTGTTGGCCTTGATCAGTCATTGAATCTCAGCCACCTAAGGGCTTAACCAGGAGTGAGCCTCACTCTACATCATTTATTACATAGTCCATACTTTGCCCCTTGATTTGAAATGCCACTTTCAATATTTATGATGTTGTATGTGTGTCTGCCCATTATTAGGTCTCAGTAGTTTCAGTTTTCCCCATAGTTTTTGTCCTTTTAAATTCTGAACAGAAAACATATTGTAATAGATATTTTAATTTTTTGCATGTATGAAAGAAACATTTTAATTGTATGTATTAATCTTTTATAAAGCCAATTTTGTTGAGCTCTCTTAAAGGTTACGGTAGGCTGTCGTTTAATTGCTTATTTAATTCTCATATAAAGTAAGCCTCTTGAATTATCTGAATAGACTAACAAAGAAATCAAATGCATAAACTATTTAAATCCTAAATACCTATGTTTTCTCATGAAATAATATATGTATACGTGTGAATAAATATGTAGATGTTACTTATTAAAAATTCCATGTTTTGTAAAATGTAATGCTGCCTCCAAATATATTAGACTTTTATATTATAGCAACATATTTTAACTTTCTAATCTCATTGCAACTGCAGATTTATCCATATTTGGTAGCACAGTTTCAACTTATGGGGTTTATCACACAGAATAACAAGTTATAGGCCTGTTGAGAGCCAAAGAAACATAATTGGCATTAGCTGGGTGTGGTGGTGTGCATTGGTACTTCCAGTTACTTGGAAGGCTGAGGTGAGAGGACTGCTTGAGCCCAGGAGTTTGAGGCTGCAGTGAGCTATGATTGCACCACTGTACTACAGCCTGGGAGACAGAGTGAGACCTCATCTCCAAAAATAAAAATGAATAAATAAATAAATATGATTGGCAGTGACTGATGTTGACTGGCCACTTACTAAGACTGTCAATAAGTGTGATATGTAGATTAGTCCTTGATTAGTTATGTTAATTGGGGTCAAAAATAGCAGGATCTCTTTGAACCCAAAAATAAATTTATAATGTTTCATTATGCAAATAACTCTCTTTCCCAATCTAACCTTCTAATGGAGACTCCTAAGAAGTTTCACTTTTTAAATGTGTAATAATTTGAAATGCACTCTATCTTTCTACCCCGTCACCATCTTGGTGGAAGTCTAAAATCAGTTATTTGACCATAGGCACTTAGGCAAGCAAAGAAAAGGGTATAGGAATGAACAAAAGAAGTATAAAGGAGTGGCAACTCTCTCAGGTGAATTTAGTAACTGGACATAATTTAACTAATCTCTCCCATTCATTGTTGCCCTGTTTCTCACAGAGGGTACTGTATAACAGGTAGGTCTAACAAGATGAATCCTCAATGTTATGCTACACAATTGTAAATTTCTCACAGAGGGTACTGTACAACAGGTAGGTCTAACAAGATGAATCCTCGATGTTATGCTACACATTCTCCATCTGGAGAATGGAGATGCTAGTAACTGAGAGGTCTAGAAGTAGAGAGAATGTGCATGCATGTGAATGCAATTTTGTAGAAGAGTAAAATGTCTATAGAAGACCAGTTTATTGATTGCTTGTCCATCATCGTCCTGACAAGTTCGCTAAAGTTTCAGAGAATAATGTGTTCAAGCAGTAAATAATTTCTTACAGTAGATTTACACAGCTCTAAAGATTTTCCCATAGACCAGCCTCAAACCACTTTTAAAAATATCATATCCACAAAGTTCATTCCTGCTTTAGACTTTTGTATCTGCTGTCTCTTATGGAATACTTCCCCGTGCCTAGTCTTCATTGTCCTGGACTCTTTAAAATTCAGGTTTTAAATTAAATATTGTCTGCCCAGAAAGGCACAATCTAAGCTAATGTAGCTTCTCAACACAAAATTCAGTCTGTAGCCCAATACCCCATAGACTTATCAACAAAAGAGGTAAGTGTCTTATGAGCAGTCATCATGATGTGGAATTATCTCGTCTGGTTGTTGGCTTATTCACTATCTAACTCTCTACACTAAAATGTGAGAGCATGTCCACTGTGAAACCCTTGTTCCTAGAACAGTGTTGTCAGTTGATGTCATAAAATTTTCACAGAACAAATAAAGGAACACAGAAGAGAGATCTTGCTGAAGTAGAGGGATCATTGTTACACACCCAGGGAAGTAGCCACATGCCTATACCTTGTTGGCTGTGACTGTACATTGTGGGTTGCTGGAAGAAAAATCAAAAGCATCATTACCCATTGAATTAAAATAAAAAACTCTTGTCTAAGATATATAGGTAATCATATCAGAAAATCAAACAATATTATAAAACTATACTTTTAAAGTTTAAAAAGTAACAAAATTTTAGCAATATTTATTTATATTTTTTGTAATTTTGAATACTATTTTTAATAACTGTACTTATTGTTTTTACAGATGGGACTAATTGTCTAAATTCAAGAATTCCTTTTGAATGAAAAGAGCAATGAAAATGTAACACATTCGGTAGATAGAAGTCCAAGGAATTTATCACATTTGGAACTATATTTTAAGAATATAACTTGCTCATTAATGTGAATTATAAAGAAATTACCTCACTATTAATTTTATTAAAAAATAGTTTACTTTTTACTTTTGATCCTCACTCCAGATGATAATGGAAGAACAAAGATGCTACTAGCATTTTATTTTAAATCACATCTGCAGTCATTTTATACGATAAATGCTTTCACATTTTTATTCCTGGAACTGGTGTTGTTTATGATAGCCTTTTTCCTTAAGGATGATGGGTATTCACTTAAGTTGAAATTTGACATTTCATTAATTTTTTTAGGGCAATAGGAGACATAATAAATATTCAAATATTCAGACTGCAAGGGAACCGCTGCACATATTTGGACACTTTTTGGACATACTCTAGTATGACTAGAAGTAATACGGTAACTTTAAAGTGAGTTGGACATAGGCCTTATGTTTGCCCACTACTTCAATAAATATGCTTATTTTAAACTATAAAATAAGTTAATATTTTTCTTAGCATTAGCATAGAAAATATTATTTTATCAAAATTATTAAAATGTTTTCAATTATTAGCATAATAAAAAGTGATTAGGCCAAAAACAGAGTATATAATATTTTGAATAAATTATATGTTAGCGAATATTCTAAATATAGATCTATTTTGTATATAATTTTAATAAATACATGTTTGTCACTTTTAATATCATTTAGTTTTTTAAAATATATTTAAAATATTTAATTATAGAAAAGCCCTTTACTTGAGGGTATATTTATATTTAGAGTTGTCTATTTGTCTGAATTTTGTGCTGTGTTACTTATATTTACTCTTCCTGTGGTAGAGTTGCTCATTGTGGAACAGTCTTGAGGAAATTAGAGAATTCTTACAGACATTCATTGTATTAATTAAACACAATCAATTTTTGAATGATAATCATAATGAAAATAATATTAATTGAAATACCAAGTAACATGATTGGACAAAAGAGAGGAAATCACTCTATCTTTCAAATGAATGTTACAAATATCAATAGAAAAAGTATTCTCTTACACAAAAAACTATTTTTCATAGTCATGTCACTTGCTAGTTTGGTTCATTTTTATATGATAATTTCTTTTTGTAATATTCTTTGTTCTGGACTTGGTCATTGCCTTTTTCAGTGACAGACGAGACATTTATATTCATCTTATTTTGGAAAACTTTCATGGCTATTTTTTGGTCAAATCATGAGATTCTGTATATACACTCCCTATGTTAAGCTTCTTACACTTTGAACTCTGCAAGCATCCCTGCTTGGACATAGCTGCTTTCATTGGAGATTTGTTTCCAAAGGCATCTGGGTAGGCAAGCATTAGAATTCTGCTCAAAGATTCAGGGACTTGCTAGCTCACCCATTTTGCTTCTGTAGTTCTTGAGCAGCAGTTACATGGAGTACAGCAGTGCAAATGCTGATACAGACAGCAGAAGGCCAGATATAAAAGGAAGCAGACTACAAAAGGGGCAATCAATACAGTTATTAGGAAAAATATAGGAAAGATAGAAAGAAGATACTTAAGAAAATTTAAAAACTTTCAAAGTTGGATTTGCATTTTCAGAGTTTTTGCGGCATCTTAAACATGCCCAACAATCCTTGAATGCAGACTATGCCAATAAGATTATTTCCCAGATTTCCTAACTATTCTCTATATATCCTTAACATAAAGCCCCACCCTCTAAAGTAACCTAAATTATGTCTGTTTAATGCAGAAAATTAACAAATAGCAGAACTAATATAATTAACCATGCTTATTTTATGTATATTCTTGGTGATCCCTAATTATTTATAATTTAAGGCCTGTGATGAACAAAGAAAGATATAAATGTGATCACAATAATGAATAGATAATATCTTGCTTTGCTGGAAATAAAATTTCGGTGCTATTGAACTCAGTTCATCTCTTTGGCACAAGTACTTCAGTGTATTTTGGATATTTTTAGGTTTTCCTTCAAAAATAGTGCATTTCTTTACAGCAGCAATTTTAATTTTTTATCTACAGTTACATACATTCAGAAAATAAATTACTGCCTGAGCAATATTACTTATCAAAATTTTCTTATATATGCACAATTATGTCCTTTGCTATTTAGTTGACATTGCCCTATTTTTATATGTACAAAGATCATTGATTTTTATTGAGCTAATTTGTTCTATATAAATAATTACTCCCTATATGGCAATTTTAGAAGTCAGATAATTTTTTTCAGAACTTCAATGGAGAATCTAGAATACTTCATTAGCAACTCATTTATAGTAATTCATTTATCTGAAAATACATCCTTAGATTGTAGTTTTTTGTTTTTAGTTGCACACACAGTATTTCTTGATTTCCTATTCATGAGAAATTAGGCATTTTATTGTGTCACATGGTGGTAATTTCATTTAGAATTAACAAATATTTACAAGTATAAAATAACATTCTTACAAGGCAATTTAAATAGTACTGGAAGTATCAAGGCTTACATTTGCAGCTGCAAATAAAAAGTGCTTTTAAATGTGAAGAGAGAATCACATGGAGCATATTGTTGCTATATCTTGCAACACTGTGGCATTGTCTTAATTTTTCTAACTTGCCAAACCATTAGTGCCTTGTATGGATTCCAAGTACATATTGCATTCTTAATCCCAAATTTATTGCAAATTTCACCAATATGTCATTTCATTGTTACCACTATCATCATCAAAATCACCCATAGTTGACTACTTAAATGATATTGAAGAAAATATCTCAATATAACACATAATGTGTATGTAATTGATCTCTCTTTACCATTTATCTCATTTTATTTGCCCCCAACAAGCAATTTTCTTATCACATAATATTGAAGTCTTGATTTTTCTTACCTGTTGGGGTCATTGATTAAACTCTCCACTTTCTAGAAATGCTTACCTTCCAAATTTTGTTTATACTTCCTCTAATACTTCCTCCAAGTAACCAATGCCTCAATAAGGTTTTTATCTTACAATGCACAGGTACACAGATTTTCTTACTCTGAAATTCTCAGTACTTGTACATTTTATATCTACTATCTTTGGCTTTTACTTTTTCCTTACACATATATGTATATGTGTGTATGTATGTTTGTATGTATATATACACACATATAAAGAGGTGTGTGTGTGTGTGCATGTGTGTGTATGTGTGTGTGTCTTTTTAACCAGAGCATACTTTCACTTTCTCTAGTATTAAGTTTAGGTCCAGCATAGTGATATGCTCCCTTATTAAGCAGGTAATTAATAAATGGATATGGAATATGGAATTAATACTTGATTAAAGAAGAAAAGAAGTAGGCAAATGAAAGCCAAAATCAATCTGCAGATAATATTGTCTGTGAGTTTATGTATGTGCATGCATATAACATTGTTTCATTAGATTCAGGGAACATTATTTCAGTGACACATCTTCTCAGAGATGTCATATAGTCTTCCATATGTGCTTCTTTCAGAGCTGGCAAGAAGGGTATAACATTTGGGCCTGGAATGTCTAAGCTTTGTTCAGACATGCACTCTGTGATCTAGAAGAACTATTGGCTACATGGAATATTTTTAACCATAGACGATGGCATGTGCTTGCATCCCAAGATTTCACTCAGGACTACATAAAATGGAATCACACATTACCAGAGAATGCATTTCATTTCTCTTAGTTGATTCTTCACTATATAATTCCTATCTTTACATATATGTTACCAAGATTTTTTTTCATCAGGATTGTGTAGCATCAAGAATAAAAAATTTAAAAGTGGAATAATTATCATTCTTGTTATACCCTTCTATGACACACTGAAATGTCATTTAGGATTTGTATGCCAAATATTATGTCTGAAAAAATCACAATAGGGTAATTTTTCTCCATAAGTTTTTGTGTCAAGACCTTGATAACTCTGTAGTTTTTTGCTAAATCCTTTTTGGTTTCTTCCGATTCCTCTTAAGAACTTTAGTCTGTTGTTTAAATGTATAATTGATGCTCCATTAAAAAGTTTATGGGCTCAAAATGATTATTTATAGTATAATTTTCTTTCAAAAGTGTTTCCTCCCTTGAAGTTTTAAAAATATTTCTGTAATATTTCACTTATAATAAGTTTTAGTGTTCAGTAGCATACTAGGATGGCCATAGTTAATAAGAATTTATAGTACATTTCAAAATAGCTAGAAGAGAAGATTTGGAATGTTTCCAAAACAAAGAAATGGTGTTTGCAGCTATGGATATCTCAATTCCCCTTATTTGATCATTACACATTGTATGCATGTATCAACAAAATACTTGTACCCCATACATATGAATAACTACTATGTATCAATAAAAAGAGTCTGATTTAATATGAGTAATTAATATATTTTTATATTAGCGCTTTATTCAAAAATAAATGAAAGAAACAACAATTTCTGTCAAAGATGATCTGCATCTTTGGTGAAACTTGATTTATAATCTTTGTTCATTTGTGTGGGTTGTCATCATTTGTAAGCTATACCACACAAAAACAAATAACTCTAACTTAATTATTAACTTAATCAAATCTAAGTTTCATATCTTCATGGATCAGCTGATGGAATGTACTGGCTGATGAAGTCCATTATATCTCTGAACAGTTGCCTGAAGGACAACATAGGTGGGTTTGAGGAAGTGAAACAAATAAGTTTTAATTAAAGTGTTGAAAGAGAAAATTATCTACCTGAAGAAAATCTGTGATGAGTCCTTCAAAAAGTTAAATACATCTCAGTTTTCAAGTTAATAATTTTCAAATTAGATTTTATAAACTAGAGTGTGTACACAGACACAGGCATCATTTGCATTGTTTTATGAATGTAATGCATGGCACTTTTTGTGAGCAACAAAATTCTGTAACTTTATTCGGAGAAAATAATATATGGAGACAAATTAGTACCAATAGTACTGACACCTCTCTCTCAAACTTATATTTTATAAGCTATCAGAGAAATCACATGTTGTGATTCATTTAAAAATAATAAAAGCCATATTGACTAATACAGTTGTCTATTAGTGCTCATCATGTTGGGAGCACCATTTCCTGGAAACATATGAAAGGAAAAAGCATTAAAACCATTTTGCCCTCGCTGTTGATTCTTGCTGCTGATTGCCTTTTATTTTTATTCACTGACTCATAAATTCCTATCCTCAATGTTAGAAAAATAGAATCAATATTTTCACCATTAGTCAAAAATTTATATTATGCTAATACTTAAAAATAACCATTCTTTTTGTTCCAGAAACTATTCTGCATTACAGATTATAAATAGAGAATTACAATCCATTTCAAGCTTGCCAAAAAGTGTATTTTAATCCTGTTCAGAGTATGGCATAATTTTATAATATATGGTTGTATTGTTATATAAGAGCTATGAATTTCCTGATAAATATAATTGATTTCCTTTAATGTGATTAGGGCCTTTCTTAATTTTTCTGAGCCTCTTCCCTCACAAAAAGTGAATAAGTTTCATGGTAATATAAATTATAGTGACTCATGAAACAGGTATGTTATAAAGGAAAATAATTTTTTCTGCCATGTATTTTTAAAAATCCATGACATACTTACAAATTTTGAGGCTTATTAGTGGGGAATGCCCAATACTGATCAAGTGATTCATAAGTTTTTAGAAACAGAAATGTAGAAGACATCTTAAGAAAACAAGAAATTCAGAAACCTCTTTAATTATCTTTTAACTGCTTTATACAATTTGGATTGGATTATTTTAAGGAAATGTATTGGCATCTAGGTCATGGCAAAAAGTTCAAATGCTAACTTATCTTCTGCATCTTGTCTCAGATATTTTATTTTGTAGTAACATTAACATCTTACTTTATTTTCCGCTAGTCATTTTTTTATCATAAAACATTTTCTTCTCAATTAATAGTATCTTCATCAAACATCTCATGCTGCAAGCCATCAGTGACATAGACATAATCCTCTCCTTGAAAAACAATTAATTTTGGAGAAAGTGCACAGATATAAAAATTTAAAAGTGCTAAAGACAAATCACAATATGCAAAATTCCAAAACAGTATGAAAAAATAAAAACTCTTTCCTGAAATCTTCCAAAGATGCAAAAAGTAATCATATAAAATAATGTTTTAGTTGAAATAAATATACTTTTAAGAATAATAAACCTCTAAATGCTGGAAGCAAGATGTTATTTTTAAGAATTGTGGGAGAGAATAAGCACAGTAGTACTTATAAAGCACTTACTACATGCCAGCAACATTAAAGGGCTTTACATTTATACTTAGTGTAATCCTCATAACAACTATTGGCAAGATGTATCCATATTGTAGAGATGTTTAATAGTGGGGAAAATGCATATGAACTTTTATGAAATAGAGACAGATATTAGTACTTAAATATATTTAAATATATCTTTGTCACTTATGTAGGGCCAGGTATTTAAAAATTTTATAGAACTAATTCTTCCTAGCCTGTTTTGAGTCTTTGCTCAATGTCCATCCTCAGTGGCACCCTCCAGAGCACTGTAATTTAAATTTCATTCTCACCACTCAACTACAGTATTCATAATTCAGTATAGTCTTTTCTGTTCCTCTTGTTTTCCATAGTTCTTATCACTATATAATATGCAATAGAAATTATATATGTTTTTCGAATGTCTTTTTTCACAGATCACTGACCTTTTATGATATAAACTCCTTAAAGGAAAGGACTGTTGTTTGGTTCAACTGATACATCTCTAGCACATACAACACTGCTCATCACATACTCAATATGTATCAGTTTGATGTTAAGAAATAACAATTAGTAAATCATCAAAAGATGAATTGGTACCGAATGATCAATGTTACTTCAATATATGGTCAAAAATACATTTTTACATACGTTTATCTAAAATATATCCATATGATTTTTCTTGTGTAGAAAAGGCATATGCATTTATGTATATAATGTGACATTAGAACTGCCAATATAAACCATCAATGATCATCTAACTATTGAATAATTTATCTTTTGGTTTTCAGTCTGGAAGGGGAATGTCATATACAAAGCTGAACAATAAAGTATAAACTAATTAGGCAATCTATTTAACTTCTATGAACCTCAGTTTGCTCTTGTATTAAATGGAGATAGTAATAGTATGCCCCTCATAGAGTCATTGTAAGAAATAAATGACACAATTTATACATAGTATTTTTTGCTACTCAAAAATACTTAGTATTTTTTGCTACTCAAAAATACTTAGTATTTTTTTTCTACTCAAAAACAATATTTTAGCTATTATGTTATTACACCAGAAAGAGTGACAGGATCATCTGCATAGTTATTTGGGGGATATTTATAGAAGTGCTGGCATTAATGTGGAATCATATTCCAAATTCATTCAAGTAGACATGTAACTATTGAATACTACTTTTTAAAATTCCCTAGCATCGCAATATATAATGTATGTAAATAGATTATAACAGTGTCTATCATGGCATGCTAACAAAACTGCAGAAATTTATCACCGCAAGCATCTGTTTTCTCCACCAATAAAATTTCACTGGCCGTTCATTCCCATGCTGGTTGATAATAATACTTTTGAGAGCAATTGAGGTTAAGAATGCCAGTAATGTGGATTCTGTTTGGAAATGTATGAAAGAATTTTGATAAAATCTAGCCTAACTTGTACAAATTTTTTCAGACTTCTCCAGGGCAGAACACCACCAATTTGGATGATATCATTATATTGTAGCCCTTAAAATACTTCTGTAAACGGAAGGTTGAGGTGCAACATATAATATTTCACATACAAATAAAATGATGGTGCTATCTTGAAAATTTGGCAACTCACACATGAAGACAACTTAAACCTGTCATTCTGCAACAGATTTTATTATATTTTTTATGTAAAGTCTACTCAGCCACTGTTTTTCAGCCTTTGATACAAAGAGATACACAGCACAGTTCAACAATATAGTTTGTAAGCAAAAAGCTAAATCAAACACCAAAATTGTTCCAAGCTTTTAAGGCTGTGAAAAAAGTTAATCATTCAATTTGCATCTAAAATAATGTTTACTGTTCAAGTTTTGTAAGTTTGTCACTCACCATTCTCTTAATACTAGAAATTACACAAATTGGCTGATACTTTAACATTCTAAATAAATATAACAATTTTGTATAAAAGTATTCAGGAAGCTGTGATTCTCAAATATTGCTGTATATTTTAAATACCTGGAGAACTTGTTGGAAATGTTTGTTTTCTGTATTTTCTGTACAGCCACAAATTTCTTGTAATTCAGATTCAATAGACCTGGAGCAAGGTTTTGGGGAAATCTGCATTTTTAATAAGCAAAGTCATTAATTGTGGTGCTCTTCATTGTAGACCACACTTAAAGAAAGACTATTCTAATCCTATCATTTGACAATATAATGTTTTCTTGGTGCAAGGAAACAAGAAGCTGGTGTATGTGAATGAAGATATATAGGTGCTTTTTAGATAATAAATTCACCTGAAATGAGAGCTTTTGACAGAAAATATCTCTCTATCAAACTAGTATACCATTTGGAGACTTTACAACATATATATAAATAAATAAATAATGCACCACTGATTTCTGCAAAACAAAGTGCTATACTCTTAAGAATAGAAATCTGCTTTGAAAGTCATAGGTGATATGGATTTCAGTTGAGAATTACTGCAGTAACAAACAACCCCCAGCATCTCAGAGGCTTTAAACAACAAATATTTATTTCTTGTTTATGCTATATGTCCATCAGGGGGCCTTTGTTTATTACAGTCACTCAGAGACTTTGGATGACAGAGCGGTCACCTTTGCACATCATATTTGCTCCCATATCAGAGGAAAGATAAAGACTCTAAGAGTTCTTGCTGTAGCAAGTACATGCTAAGTTCTGACTTCAACAGTTAAATGCTAATGACTCATTGACCTAAACTAGAAACCAACGCACTTCCAAACAAAAGAGACAGCAGTGCAATACTACTACGGGCCTAGAAGGTAGGGAGGTTGAGGATTAGAGTATTTGAAATATTTGACAAACAACAATTATGACTACCACAAGTAACCAAATTCTCTTCTGAGAACTGCTCCTGAAGCTCCATGTCTGAATATCAACAGTAAACCGTTACGCTGTTGGCTAAAGGCAGTTGATGACTCAGAGAAATCTACCTGTGAAAAATGTTGTGCATTAGCTGATTAGACATCAGCACTGTGTCTACTCTAAACAGATGGCAGAAAACGTAAAATCTGCTGAAATGGAAGGAGGAAACTTTAATTATTGAAAGATGTTCTGCATGATATCAACAGAGAAATTTGTCCTTTTGACTAATTTTTTACTAGCTGATGAATTATCTTCTGACCAGCACAGCTTCACTAGTTTTCACGTAAACAAAATTCATCATCTCCAACTGCCTTTAGATTAGTTTAATTAGAGTTTCTGCTTCACTGTCACTAAACAAGAGAAACTTAAGGAACGGGTCAAAGATTTGCATCACAACTCAGTTACTCAACACAGAATAATATTAAATGTATTCAGAAGGCTGAGCATAACTATTTTTTGACAGCATAAATCCTTTCCCAAAAATACCATCTATCCCCCCAAATTTTTAAGATTCTCCACTTAAAGTTTTGTGATTGTGCTTTATCTTTTGTAGAAATATTTTCTTCATCTTTAACAAAACCTATTAGTTATATAATTTTGTTTTTATCCTATCTGCCAAAACACTGCTTTTCCACTATGCAATGGGGACACAGTATAGCCATTGTCTTGATTTTCATTATTTTATTAACATATATAATACTCGAGTCTAATCAATTCTTAAGAAGAAACCAATGTCAGTATGTAGATGTTTATCAAATTGACAGAATGTTCATGTTTAAAAATTGTTCTTGCAAAATAACAATTTCAAAATGTTTAGAGAGGAGTTTTAGGTTCCATTTTTTCAGAATCCCCATGTCTAAAATATGAAATATATAGAAGTGACTTTAAGGGACTATTTATTTCAATAACCTCTTTCATTGTGGTTGCCCTCAATTATTTAGGAAAAATAATGAAAAATATAAGTTTAAATAAGACACGATGTTAATAATTATGAGTTTGAACAGATTATTGATGAATTAGTAATTCTACCATAGGAATAATGGACAATTTTGGGTTATGCTTTCCTATATTGATCAAAGCCCTTGTGCATTCTGACTTGATAGTAAGTTCAGTTTCATGTGGGTCAGTTGATGAATTTGCAATATAGTCATTGTAGACACAAACTAGAACAAAGTCTATGGAGATTCTAGTCACAAATGATATATCACTGATAACAATTTTCTCACTTCATTCAACTTTTCACTATGCGTTCTTTAGGACCTTCCACCTTCTCTTTGTCTCTGAGTCTCAGAGACAATGCTTCGTATTGCAGATATCTGTTATGGCAGCATACCACTTCTGGTATCCTAATCTGAGCCAGTTAGCTGTTAATAAATTTTGTTAAACTCCAAAATATTTTATTATATCATGGTTTTGAAACTCAGAAATTAAAGTAGGATGCACTTGGAATGGCATGTTTCCATTCCTCAGTGACTGTTAAAAGTTAAAATACACAAAATACGTCTTAAATTTAAGTGAGTTGAAGTAACTGTTCCTATGTATTTGCTTTGTTTAATAAGTGATAAAAGTACCACTTTATATATTAGATTCTAATCAGGGATATGACACATAATCCCTAGCATAATCTTTAAAAATTGTTAAAGAATGTAAAGGAAACAATAAAGAAAAAGCTGAAATCTAAGGCTAATTAGTGCAAAAAAGATAAAATAAAAAAGACAAAATGGAACATAAGTCAGACGAGTAAAACAGCAAAAAAAAGTAAGATGTTAAATTTATATACAAATATACAAGTACAATAAATGCAAGTGTAATAAATATTTGAGTTAAAAGAAAAAGATTGATCAAGAAAATTCAATGATATTTTGTTCTCAAGAGAAACATCTTAAATACATTATACAGGAATATGAAAAGCAAACATATTTTTAAAGTATTTAAGTGTTCAACCAACAAAAAGATAATAGCTATACTAACATCAGATACTTTTTCCATTTCTCATTGGGGGAAAATTTTCAGGCAAGCAAATACTTTCAGTAAATACTAGAATTTGTGGATGTTTCATGATGGTTTTTAAAGTTAATAAATGTAAGGCCCACTAACACCCACATAGTCTAAAAATACTTATGAAATCCACAAAGGATTAACAGGTTGCTCTGATGCTTTCGGTAGAGTGAGAGAGAATTTGGTAATCTGTTAGAGATTATATTGCTGAGAAGCTACTAGGGAAGACTATTTGTAAAAGAGTAAGTTCTATATCTGTATCTAAGCCCCTATGGTAGACTTAAAAAAATACTAACTTCAGTGAGTTTTAGGTTAGTTGACTTTAAACAAAAAAATAGTAATAAAGAAAAATATTTGATAACAGTAAAAAGGCCTTAAAATTTTATGCACCTATTAATATAGTCTCAAATATACCATTCAGAAATTGACATAGGTATCAAGGAGAAGGATATAAACCTAAAATAATATTGAAAAAACACTTTCTTTTTCTGGAATTGAGGAAGCAAAGAGACAAAAATTCATTAAGAATATAACACTTTTGAGGAATAAAATTAATCCAGTTGACCTGGTAGATATGTACAGAACATTACACCAAACAAATGTAGAATGTAGTTTTTTTCAAGACCACCAGAATATTTACCAGAATTGGCCAAATGCTGGGCTAGAATACAAACCTCAACAAATGTTAAATGAAATCATGCAAAGTGTGCTATCTTACCACAATGATATTAAGCTTGAACTCAGAAACAAAAATATAACTATTGATACAAAATATTCGAAAGGTTGAAAATTAAATTGTGAACTTTGAAATAGAAAGCTATGTGTGAATAAGGAAATTTGAATAGAAAATGGAAAGCATTTTGAAATGAATGATGGTAAAAGTGGAACATATTAAAACAAAAGGGTCAGCACTAATGTATTAAAGGGAATTGTATAATCTTTACTGACTAGCTGAAAAAGAAGGGAAACAGAAAACCAAATCTACCCCTCTCCCTCTCCCTCTCCCCTTTCTTTCTTTCTTTCTTCAGTCTCCCTCTCTCCCCTTTCTTTCTTTCTTTGGTCTCCCTCTGTTGCCAAGGCTGGACTGTACTGCCGTGGTCTCGGGTCACTGCAGCCTCCCTGCCCCGGGCTCCCGTGGTTCTCCTGCCTCGGCCTGCCAAGTGCCTGGGATTGCGGGCGGGCGCCGCCACGCCTGACTGGTTTTTGTATTTTTGGAGGAGACGGGGTTTCGCCCTGTTGACCGGGCTGGTCTCTGGCTCCTGACCTCGAGTGGTCTGCCCGCCTTGGCCTCCCGGGGTGCTGGGATTGCAGACGGAGTCTTGCTCACTCAATGCTCAGTGTTGCCCAGGCTGGAGTGCAGTAGCGTGATCTCGGCTCGCCACAACCTCCACCTTCCAGCCACCTGCCTTGGCCTCCCAAAGTGCTAAGATTACAGCCTCTGCCCAGCCACCACCCCGTCTGGGAAGTGGGGAGCATCTCTGCCTGGCCGCCCATCGTCTGGGATGTGGGGAGCCCCTCTGCCCAGCCGCCCCATCTGGGAAGTGAGGGGCGCCTCTGCCTGGCCGCCACCCTGTCTGCGAAGTGAGGAGCGTCTCTGCCTGGCTGCCCATCGTCTGGGAAGTGAGGAGCCTCTCTGCCCGGCAGCCCATCATCTGGGATGTGAGGAGCGCCTCTGCCTGGCCACCACCCCGTCTGGAATGTGAGGAGTGCCTCTGCCTGGCTGCCCCATCTGGGAAGCGAGGAGCGCCTCTACCCGGCCGCCCCATCTGGGAAGCGAGGAGGGCCTCTGCCCGGCCGCCCCGTCTGGGAAGCGAGGAGCGCCTCTACCCGGCCGCCCCATCTGGGAAGTGAGGAGGGCCTCTGCCCGGCCGCCCCGTCTGGGAAGCGAGGAGCGCCTCTACCCGGCCGCCCCATCTGGGAAGTGAGGAGGGCCTCTGCCCGGACACCCCATCTGGGAAGCGAGGAGCGCCTCTGCCCGGCCGCCCCATCTGGGAAGCGAGGAGCGCCTCTGCCCGGCTGCCCCATCTGGGAAGTGAGGAGCGCCTCTGCCCGGCCGCCCATCGTCTGGGAAGTGAGGAGCGCCTCTGCCCGGCCGCCCATCGTCTGGGATGTGAGGAGCGCCTCTGCCCGGCCGCCCCGTCTGGGAGGTGGGGAGCGCCTCTGCCCGGCCGCCCTTCGTCTGGGAGGTGGGGAGCGCCTCTGCCCGGCCGCCCCGTCTGGGAAGTGGGAGCCTCTGCACGGCCACCCCGTCTGGGAGGTGAGGGGCGTCTCTGACCGGCCGCCCTGTCTGGGAGGTGAGGAGTGCCTCTGCCCGGCCGCCCTTCATCTGGGAGGTGGGGAGCGCCTCTGCCCAGCCGCCCCGTCTGGGAAGTGTACCCAACAGCTCCAAAGAGACAGTGACCATTGAGAACAGGCCATGATGACGATGGCGGTTTTGTCGAAAAGAAAAGGGGGAAATGTGGGGAAAAGAAAGAGAGATCAGATTGTTACTGTGTCTATGTAGAAAGAAGTTGACATAGGAGACACCATTTTGTTCTGTACTAAGAAAAATTCTTCTGCCTTGGGATGCTGTTAATCTATAACCTTAACCCCAACCCCGTGCTCTCTGAAACATGTGCTGTGTCAACTCAGGGTTAAATGGATTAAGGGCAGTGCAAGATGTGCTTTGTTAAACAGATGCTTGAAGGCAGCATGCTTGTTAAGAGTCATCACCACTCCCTAATCTCAAGTACCCAGGGACACAAACACTATGGAAGTCCGCAGGGACCTCTGCCTAGGAAAACCAGAGACCTTTGTTCACCTGTTTATCTGCTGACCTTCTCTCCACTATTACCCTATGACCCTGCCACATCCCCATCTCTGAGAAACACCCAAGAATGATCAATAAATACCGGAAAAAAAAAAGAAAAAAAAAAGAAAACCAGATCTAATCATTGATGTCAAAAGCTTAGAAAAAGAACAAAAATTAAACACTATGAAATAGAAGGTCGGCAATAATAAAAGTAAAAGCAGAAGTTAATGAAATGTCCTATAAAGTACAACAGAGAAAATCAGTATTATTAAGGATTTTGTTGTTGTTGTATTTTTAGCAAAACTGACTTGAGATGGAATAGAAAAATCTATTTTTTTAATTTTTTGTTTGTTTATTTGTTTATTTATTTATTTGTGAGACAGAGTCGCACTCTGTTGCCCTGGCTGGAATGCAGCAGTGCAATCTTGGGTCACTGCAACCTCCACTTCCCCAGTTCAAGCGATTCTCCCATCTCAGCCCCTTGAGTAGTTGGGATTACTGGTGCCTGCCACCAGGCCTGGCTTATTCTTGTATTTTTAATAGAGACAGGGTTTCACCATGTTGGCCAGGCTGGTCTGGAACTCCTGACCTCAAGTGACCCCTCTGCCTTGGCCTCTCAAAGTGTTGGGATTACGGGCATGAGCCACTGCATCTCCCCTGACTGTTTAAATACTTTTGCCCTGCCTCACCTCCACGGGGTTAACCTCTTTATACAATCATTGCTACGACAACTATCTGTGCCCAAATATGTGGCGATAACACCTTGACTGCCCTACACAACTCATCTTTGCTTTTTGCCTTGTCTTTATCTAAAACAACAGTCAGGACACAGCAGAAACCAGCTTAGCTTTAAAGTATGTATAGCTCAGAAGTGTAAGCATAAGGAAGTTAACATCTCATATGACAACCTTTGACCAATGGGTGCACAGACACTAATGAATGAACATTTATCATTTCCAGGACTAAGACAGACAACTTTCAGGTGCAGTCTTCACACCAACCTATCAACTCCCAGGGGATCAAACCACAACCATCTAGAATGGTTAACAGCTTGATTATATAGATTTGTTTCAGCTTTCCTCCTTCTCTCTCAATTTCCCTAGTCCCTCACTCCTGTTCTATGGGCTACCTTACTAACTAAATTACCTTCTTCCAAGTCATTGTCCCAGGATCTTTCTTTGTTTTTCCTCTTTTTTTTTTGAATCTAAGGGAAGACTATCCAATACAAAATACAATTTTAAGAACT
Organism: Homo sapiens; assembly: GCF_000001405.40. Classification (NCBI taxonomy): domain Eukaryota; kingdom Metazoa; phylum Chordata; class Mammalia; order Primates; family Hominidae; genus Homo; species Homo sapiens. Next base: position 187,635,154 of record NC_000002.12, on the reverse strand, counting down.
TTGGATCTGTAATTTTAAATCTGTCACAGAAAACTCTAGGACATATTCACTTTATAAGTGAATGCTGCAGATTGTAAACAAATTTTCCCAAAGAATAGGAAAAGAGGAAACATTTTCAAACTCTTTATTTTTGTGTATTTATTTATTTGAGACAGGGTCTTGCTCTGTTGCCTAGGTAAGAGTGGAGTGGTGCAATCATGGCTCACTGCCTCAACCTCCCGGGCCCAGATGATTCTCCCACATCAGCCTCCCAAGTAGCTGCGGACCACAGGCATGCACCACCATGCCCAGCTAATTTTTTATATTTTGTAGAGAGAGGATCTCACTGTGTTGCCCATGCTTGTCTAGAACTCCTGAGCTCAAGCAATCCTTCCACTTTGGCCTCTGAAATTGTTGAAATTACAGGCATGAGCCACCAGGACCAGTCAAATGTTCAAATTTGTTATATAAGGTGAGCATAACCTTGACATCAAACCTTGATGAGAATAAAAGAAAACTTTAGGCCAATCTCTTTCACAAAAATAGATATGAAAAATTCTAAACAAAAGACTAGCAAACTGAATTCAGAAATAAACAAGGACAATGCATCACAACCTGTTTAGAATTATTTCAGTAACGGAAATATAGTTCATTAAACATTTGAAAAGTTCATCAATACCATTCACCATATCAAAGGAAGAAGAATCATACAATGAATTCAATAAATACAAAATAAATATTTTTTAAAATTCGAAAAACTTTCATGATAAAAATATTTAGCATGCTATAAGTAGAATAAAAATTTTATTATCTTACAGAGCTGTCAAATTATGAAGGTCCAAAACTCCTAAAGCAAATGCCATATATAATGGTAAAATGTTGAAAACTTTCCCTCTAACTTTCAGAATAAGGCAAGAGTACCCACTCTCATTAAAACAGAATCAATAATGGGAAAAATTAAAATCATGTATCAACTGATAGGATGCAATAAGAACACAGTGTCACCTTTGCAATATTCCTGTCAATATAAATAACCTAATAATCAGACAAATACTGATGGAAGGACCTTCCACAATAGAAGTGCCTTATGATCTTCAAACATGTAAAAGGTAAAAAGAATGAAAGAAAAGATAAAGAATCAATCAAGACCAAGAGAGATTAAAGAAACATGATAAACTGTAACTAATATGTGATTCTGAACTGGAGTTTTTGCTGGAAAAGGCATTATTCAGACATTTGGTGAAACCTTCATTGCATGAGTTGTAGATGATAGTAATATATCAATATTTATTTCCCGCTACTGATGGTTGTACTAAATTTATTTATGCGAAATTTTTGTTTGTAAGCAAGTATTATAGCCTAATAGGCTTTAAACTTTTGTTCTTATATGGTTTGGAGACAGGGGTGGTAGGGAGTACTCTCTATTGCATGTGAAACTTTTCTAGAAGTTGGCAATTGTTCTTAAAAAGTCCTAGAATTATCAGGAAGGCCTTTATTGTTAAGGTAACTTTACTTTTTTAGTTATTTGAATAACTTACCGATTTCAAATTTGGCTTCTGTAGAGTTAGAGTTTGCATATATGATCTTTTCCAGGGTTTTAACTGAATCAAATTCATCAGTGTTTTAGAATCAGCTTTTTCAGGCATAAATTAAAGCATGGGTATTTACTTTTTAACTCCCTTACCTTTATCATTAACCAGGATTTTTTGAAAAATCTTTTTGAATTTTTGCTTTATGCTCTAAAAATTTATTACATTTATTATATATGTTCATAAATCTGTATTGGTATAATAATGTAATTAGATATGACACAATCAAAAAACATAAACAGTGCCTGAAAGATTTTGCTATTTAAACTTAATAAACTCTATCCTTAAATGTGTGTGTTTGATTATAATGACTATGTTTGTGTGTTTTAACATTTAATATGCTGACTTATCTTTCATCAAAGGCATATTTTACTTTACAGTTTTCTTTATTCTTTTGCTAAAATTGAGGAAAAATAATTATATTCTACTGTATATTATTAAATTATTTTATGTTAAGAGAATGATATTGATGTTTACAAGACTTTACCAAACTATTAAATATTCACAAATCAATCAACTGAGAATATTTCCCCCACATGAATTCTATGTATTTATTTTATTATACATAAGAATATTTCTGATCAATAATATTGGGCATATGTTGTGGGAAATGAAAGTGCACTATTCACCAGAATAATAATGGTTTTAAAACTTAAAAACTTAATTAATTGAACTTTGAATGGTCAGTGGGATCAGTATTGTCATGGTTATAATTACTTCCACACGATATCATTTCTCCTTTTAATATGCATTTTGTGTGAATGACATAATTGTCATTAAATTGTTTTGGTTATTTTAACAACTATTGCATGAATTTCCCATTTAATGATGAATGACTGTCATTAATTTATTAAGAGTATGTTTATAAAATGCTTACTATTTTCTACCCATAGTCATGTGGGTGTTTTAGGTTGGAATAAAAGTGCTTTCAGGACAATCATAGAGAAATATAAATGTCTTCCTATGATTCTAAAAAAAGTATCTTTCCATCTTCAAAACGCCTAAAACTAAAAGTAATTTTAATTTTTAATTTACATTAATTAAATATGTTTTGAGTGTCTAACATCTACAGGTCTCTTCCACTGTATAATATGTAAAAAGACCAAGCATACCACTAGACACATAGAGTAAAATAAAATAAGGGAAACAGCATAACATCAGCACAATATGCATGTGATAATTTTCATAACAGTGAGGCAAGCCAATTGGTACAATTGCAGAGAAGGAAGAGATTATAAAGAAGGCATATAGCCTTGAATACCTTTTCAGGGCAAATCACTATGGTGACTTACTTGAGTTTTTGTATTTCTAAGTCTATGGGAAGAGATCTGATGCTACTGTCTTCTCAACTCATTACATGAAATTCCCTAAAGTGTTGTATGTCTAAGTAATATTTTAAAAACATATTAAAAATACATATTCATGGAAAGTTCATTTATTTGATCAAATTTCTTTTTGCATAATAATTGAACAATTCCTTTTGATGTAAATATATTAATCAAAAATTAAAGGGGAGATTTTAAGTATAAAATAACACAAGTTTTCAAGAGATATAGAAAAACAAATTATGCAAGTGTTGAGCAGTGGTCATGTCAAACACTAAGATCATGGCATCAGAATGAATAAACAAATTAGAGAATCAGAAGGATTAAACTAATCAAGAGTAAGATTTGATGGAAAAGTAACCAAAGAAGGAAGAGCATTCCAGTTTGAGGGACCTCTGGGTAAGAGCTTACTGCATGCTGTAGGATTTGACAACTTGATTTATAAAAAAAGACCATTGCTGAAGTGAAGATAAAGAACAGGATGATTATGAAATTAGACACAAAAGTAGGGATTCGATATGGTGGGGGGAACCATTGTATTTGTATCCCAAAATACATTTGAAATGTTTGTTGAATGCTACCTTTAGGAGAAGAAGAACCTATACATATCTAATAAGGTTTATAAAGATTATACATATATACATATTTGAAATAGGACCTATTCCTGTCTTTAAGGATTATAACATTTAAATCACGTTGTATTAGTCTGTTTACCCACTGCTGATAAAGACATACCCATGACTGGGAAATTTACAAAAGAAAGAAATTTAATTGGACTTACAGTTCCATGCAGCTGGGGGAGTCTCATAATCATGGTGGAAGTCAAGGAGGAGCAAGTCCCATTTTACATGGGTGGCAGCAGGAAAAGAGAGAATGAGGAAGATGCAAAAGCAGAAGCCCCTGATAAAACCATCAGATCTAGTGAGAATATTCACTACCATGAGAACAGTATGGGGGAAACTGCCTCCATGATTCAATTGTCTCTCACCAAGTCCCACACACAACATGTGGGAGTTATGGGAATATAATTCAAGATGAAATTTGGGTGGGGACACAGCCAAACCACATCATTCCACCCCTGGCCCCTCCCAAATCTCATATCTTCACATTTCAAAGCCAAGCATGCCTTTTCAACAGTCCCCCAAAGTCTTGACTCATTTCAGCATTAACACAAAAGTCCACAGTCTGAAGTATGATCCGAGACAAGGCAAGTCCCTTCCACCTATGAGCCTGTAAAATCAAAAGCAGGTAAGTTACTTCCTAGATACAGTGGGGGTACAGGGATTGGGTAAATACAGGCATTGGAAATGGGAGAAATTGACTAAAACAAATGAGCTACAGGCCCAATGCAAGTCCAAAATCCAGTGGGGCAGTCAAATCTTAAATCTCCAAAATGATCTCGTTTGACTCGATGTCTAACATCCAGGTCATGCTGATGCAGGAGGTACATTCCCATGGTCTTGGGCAGCTTTGCACCTTTGGCTGTGCAGGGTACAGCCTCCTTCCTGGCTGTTTTCATGGGCTGGTGTTGAGTGTCTGTGGCTTTTCCAGGAGCATGGTGTAAGGTGTCAGTGGATCTACCATTCTGGGGACAGAAGGACGGACGGTGGCCCTCTTCTCACAGCTCCACTAGGCAGTGCCCCAGTAGGGACTGTGTGGGGGCTTTGACCCCACATTTTCCTTCTGCACTTCCCCAGCAGAGGTTCTCCATGAAAGCCTTGCCCCTGCAGCAAACTTCCGCCTGGACATCCAGAAATTTCCATACATCTTCTGAAATCTAGGTGGAGGTTTCCAAACCTCAATTCTTGACTTCTGTGCACTCACAGGCTCAACACCACGTGGAAGTTGCCAAGGCTTGTGACTTGTACCCTCTGAGGCCATGGCCCAAGCTCTACATTGGCCCCTTTCAGCCATGGCTGGAGTGGCTGGGATGCAGGGCACCACGTCCCTAGGATGCATACAGCATGGGACCCTGGGCCTGGACCATGAAACCATCTTTTGCTCCTAGGCCTCAGGCCTGTGATGGGAGGAGCTGTTATGAAGACCTCTGATATGTCATGGAGACATTTTCCCCATTATCTTGGGGATTAGTCTTCAGCTCCTCATTACTTATGCAACTTTCTGCAGATGGCCTGAATTTCTCCTCTGAAAATGTGATTTTCTTTTCTATCACATTGTCAGGCTACAAATTTTCCTAACTTCTGTGCTCTGTTTCCCTTATAAAACTGAATGCCTTTAACAGCACCCAAGTCACCTCTTGAATGCTTTGCTGCTTAGAAATTTCTTCCAGCAGATACCCTAAATCATCTCTCAAGTTCAAATTTCCACAAATCTCTTGGGCAGGGGCAAAATGCCGCCAGTCTCTTTGCTAAAACATAACAAGGGTTACCTTTGCTCCAGTCCCCAACAAATTCCTCATCTCCATCTGAGACCATCTCAGCCTGGACCTTATTGTCTGTGTCATTATCAACATTTTGGGCAAAGCCATTCAACAAGTCTCTAGGAAGTTCCAAACTTTCCCACATTTTCCTGTCTTCTTCTGAGCCCTCCAAACTGTTCCAATCTCTGCCTGTTACACAGCTCCAAAGTCTCTTCCACATTTTTGGGTATCTTTTCAGCAACGACCCACTCGACTGGTACCAATTTACTGCATTAGTCGGTTTTCACGCTGCTGTTAAAGACATACCTGAGACTGGGCAATTTGCAAAAGAAAGAGATTTAATTAGACTTACAATTCCATATGGCTGGGGAAGCCTCACAATCATGGCAGAAGGCAAGGAGGAGCAAGTTCCATCTTACATGAATGGCAGCAGGCAAACAGAGAATGAGGAAGACACAAAAGCAGAAAAAACCCTGATAAAACTATCAGATCTAGTGAGACTTATTCACTACCATGAGAACAGTATGGGCAAAACCGCCCCACCCCATGATTTCATTATGTCTCACTGCGTCCCTCCTACAACACATGGGAATTATGGGAGTACAATTCAAGGTGAGATTTGGGTGGGGACACAGCCAAACCATATCACACGTTAAAATGCACTTTGTTTTTTCAAATTTCGCCCCTGTCATCCCTTTTTTAGTACTATCTTATCCTTCTAGTGATTAGACAGGTTGAAGGGTACTGCATGTAGTATTTATGTGATAAAAACTATATTTTTTTAAAATATGAATTTAGAAACATGATGAAAGCTTAATGTTTTCTTAAATATGGATTTGGATATATCACAATTTAAAACGTAATGCATCATGATTAAAATTTCCTCTTGAAGGTTTTAAAAGTATGTCCTTCCTAATTGTAATGTAAAATCCATAGTCAGCTGCAAGCTACTCATAACCATATGGCTAAGTATAAGTGATTGGACTATTAGTCAATCTTATGCATATAGAAAATGCCTTGTATCACAATTATATTTGAAGAGCAATTCAATTATAGTCTTTTTCACAATCAAGGAAAGATGTTCTGGGTATTCTGGATTATTTGCAATAACTGCTTCTCAGCTTCACATTAATATAGATGATAAACGCAGTTCATCATAGAAAATCTGAATTTTTATAAATTGCAAATTTGGAAGGTTGTCTTTACGTAACATATTTATTTATAAAAATTATTTCTCTAAAATAGTTTCTAGTCATAATCACTGACTTTATATACATCTTAATGAATGTTCATACCACTGCTATAGAAATGATACTAAAATTTTTATTAAAATTACAGAGAATCTTTCATATAAGAAAAGTAAGTGGCTTGACAATGATCACAGATAGAAATTGGTAATAGAGAGAATACCAATGTCCACTTAATGATTGCTGTATAATTCATTTTATTTATACTAAATTTATTCATTCTAAATATAAATTTATACTAAATTTAAAAAATCAGTTTTCAATAAAAAAAGAATAGGCAAATCAAATGTGTGTGGCTAAATAACAACCAATGCATTTATAATTTTTCTTTTCCCCTTTTCTATGTCATTATCAGATCTTCAGATTTGGTCATCTAACATTCTTGACCTTAAAATACTATTGATACATGATTTCATTTGAGATATCTTCATGATACTAGCAATTGTTTTTTAAATTTCTTTTGTTTCATTTTTAATCCAAGAGTGTAATTTTCTGAAAATGATTTAGGATTAAATTGCTTTAAAATAATTTACATTTATAAACTACTGTATGTCAGACAGGACCAAAAGTCAATCCATGGGCCAGGTACGCTGGCTCACACCTGTAATCCCAGCACTTTGGGAGGCCGAAGCGGACAGATCAACTTAGGTCAGGAATTTGAGACCAACCTGGCCAACATGGTGAAACCCTGTCTCTACTAAAAATACAAAAATTAGCTGGGTGTGATGGCGGGCGCCTGTAATACCAGCTACCCGAGAGGCTGGAGAGGAGAATTGCTGGAACCCGGGAGGCGGAGGTTGCAGCGAGCTGAGATCTCGCCACTGCACTCCAGCCTGGGTGACTGAGCGAGACTCCCTCACAAAGAAAAACAAAACAAAACAAAAGTCAAAAACAAACAAACAAATACATCAATTGATGGTATCTTCCAAGTCCCATCTCTTTTTGTTCAGTACCTCGCATACCATACCAAGGTTTTTATCCAGGTGGCATCAGATTATAATGAATCTTAAGGAAGGTTTTGAGGAAACAACAGGTTATTATAGAGCGTAGACAGTATACATTGAAATGGATGAAAGTTTCTACTCTTTATCCTACAGATCGAGGTGAACTGTTTGTGCCTATTGTTTACATATGATCTTTTTCAACAGCCAATCTTCAAGTCTTCATAGTCTTCCCTTGAACTCTATGCAGATTTGGCAGCTCCAGAATTTACTACCAGATAAATTAATGTGATGATGTGTTCTTTAATTTGTGACTCACATGGCTTAATTGATCAGAATATACTTAATGCAGTAATATCCATGAAGCATAATGTCAAATTATGGTTAATTGTATCTGGCAATAATTACCACAAAAGGAAGAAGAAGAAGAAGGAAAAAAGAGGAGGAGGAGAAATAAACGCAATTATTCTTTACTCAAACACTTTCGCAGAGTACACAGGAAAAAGAGGAATCTGTTCATTGCTATTCACAATTCTGCTTGTCTGGGAAGGCTGGATGGACCTCCCTTTAGTTTACATGCATTTTTCGTAAGGGGTTAGTCTGGGCTTCTTTCTCTGGAAGAATAAAATAGACGTTTAATCCTTAGAGCTCAGTTTGTGATGTGCAAAGATAAAACTTTCTTCTCTTTTAGAGAATATGTGGATCTGTTTGTGCAATATGCATTTCAAAGTAATTGGGCTTTGCAACAGGCATTAATATACATGGAGTTTTTAGGAAAAATAAATTTAAGATTCAATTATAGCAAGATTCTACTATTTTAAAAAGGCATTTCTTATCTATAATTTCAAAAAAAGGTCTTCTCTAAAATCTCTGTTTTACTTGTACTCACTTGTATATTCTCTTTCCATTTCTTGTTCTGTGTGTTTAGTAAGTACTTCATGTGCTTTATATATACAATGGGCTTAAATGTCGATTACGAAGTCAAAATTTATATGCTTTGAAATAAGTTTTCAAAAACAGGTAACAAAAATACAAAGAAATTTGTCCTTAAAAGTCTTGTTTTACAAGAATTTAGACACCAGAATAGTCTGAGGAATGTAGGAAAATAAGGAAGTTTCAAAAAAATAATTTAGCTCTTAAGAATGACATGAAATAAAGTTAAACCATTTTGTAATATTCATCCTCTGTATCAATTCCCTTTGAAAACAAATTACTCAAATAGGGAGAAGGTCAGAGAAGAACCAAGTGCAAACTGACTCAAAATCTTGACATTAAGTTATGAAATTATTAAATTTCCTCAAATTATTCCTCACTCAGAGTCTTTTTTTCCTAAGATCCAGGAGTGTGAACAGTGTTATAGGTAAGTGCTAACTGAGCACAGGAGCTTTAATGATACTATAAAATAAAATGTAAAACAGGTAGCCAATAATACACAGTTTAAGACCATTTGAAATAAGACGATCAGAGATGAAAATGCAGATAGAGGTGATTGGTGAAAGCTTTGTTCTCAGGACAAATGGGCTTGCTAATGCTCTTCTTCCCATAACAAACACTAAAATGATTGTGTCTCCTTGCATGGTTAGAGCTTGTTTTGGGTCACTTTACACCTATATAAGCAGAGAATGTGTGCTCCTGAGAACCGGGATTTTCTAAGGAAAAAAGCCAGAAGAGTTCAATTAGAAATGTCAAATCTTAACCCAAGTTCGATATTCAAACAAGATATGCCTTTATGAGGAAAAGATATGGAGATGAGAAGAATAGGATGGAAGCTGTCATATTCTTCTACATTTCCCCTCTTTGTAGCGGCGAGTTCCATTTCCTATCTGAAAAATGAGGTTTGCTGTGATAAGCATTTCTTCCAACAGAGTCAATGAGTCAGAGAATACTGACAGTACCACCGAATATATCTGAAAGATAAAAACTTTTTGAAAAATCTGCCCCAACATTTTTTTTTCTTTTCTCTTTTTGGATACAGAGTCTTGCTCTGTCACCCAGGCTGGAGTGCAATGGTGCAATCTCGGCTCACTGCAACTTCCACCTCCCGGGTCCAAGTGATTCTCCTGCCTCAGTCTCCCTAGTAGCTAGGATTACAGGTGTCTGCCACCACACCCGGCCATTTTTTTTTTTTTTTTCATAGAGACAGGGCTTCACCATGTTGGTCAGGCTGGTCTCAAACTCCTGACCTCAGGTGATCCACCTGCCTCGGCCTCCCAAAGTGCTGGGATTACAGGTGTGAGCCACTGCGCCCAGCCCATTAATTTTTTTTAGAGTTTTACTATTTCATCATTGACATATTTTTGTGATTATTAAATATGTTATCAGGTAGTAAGTACAGGTTTATATGATTTTCTGCATAGTAAATATTTCATATTTTAAATTAAATTAATATAATATAAAATACATAAAATTAAAATATTCCATATTTGAAATAATTGAGTAGAAATTTTTTCTGGTTACCTACCAAATTAGCAATAACCAATTGCTGCAATTACACTTTAGTTGGAATTCTCCATATCTGCTCTTTTAGGAAAGAATTCTAAAATTCTTCCCAATTGCATTGGGTTCCTCTAATCAGATGAGAGCTTGTATAGATTGTGAACTAGCTTACTTTTCTCATTCTTTCAACTAATAGATTACTAAAAATATAAAAGGTCTTAGAGATGACTTATCAAGACTAAACTAACAATTTTACAGATGTGGAGCATCAAAACTAGGGTAAATAAATTATTAGGTTTTTTGTTGTTGTTTTTATTCTTGATGTGTTTTTGTTCTACATAGTGAATCAGTAAAAAACTTAGGACTAAAGCTCAAGTTTTCTGAACCACAGTCCATCACATCCTGATGCCTTGCAATGTAAATGGTGAACTGAAGTTTGAAAGGTATACCTCATTTAAGAGATAGTCTACATACTATTCAATGAATGCAGTGTAATATGCAAACAATGGCAACACACAAAATTTATTTATTTATTTATTTATTTATTTACTTTGTTGGTTATTTTAGAGACAGGGTCTCAGGGTGTTGCCCAGGCTGGTCTTGAACTCCTGGTCTTGAGGGTTTCTCCTGCCTCAGCCCCTTGAGTAGCTGGGATTACAGGCGCATGCCAGAGCACCCAGCTAACATACAAAATTTAGGATAAAAATTATTTAACTCTAGTAGCAACTCCTTTCATCTACAAATCAAAGTTAAACATCATTTAATTATTAACATAGTATTTTAATAAATAAACACACTACTCACTTGTTTCAGTCATTTTAGCTGTATGTATATTTTCCATATTTCTTCTCATTTTACATTATATGCTGCTACTTTATATTAGGTTGGTGCAAAAGTAATTGCAGGTATTGCCATTAAAAGTAATGGCATTGGCTCATGCCTGTTATCCCAGTACTTTGGGAGGCCAAGGGGGGTGAATCACCTCAGGCCAGGAATTCCAGACCAGCTTGGCCAACATGGTTAAAACTCATCTCTACTAAAAATACAAAAAATTAGCCAGGTAACGTGGTGCATGTCTATAATCCCAGCTACTCAGGAGGCTGAGGCACAAGAATCACTTGAACCTGGCAGGCAGAGATTGCAGTGAGCCAAGATTGTGCCACTGCGCTGTAGCCTGGGTGACAGAGTGAGACTCTGTCTCAAAGAAAAGAAAGTAATGGCATTACTTTTAATGGCATAAACTGCAATTACTTTTGTGCCAACCTAATATATTCTTTATTGCAAGGACAGAACACTTTTTTTGTTCAAATCTAGAGTAATCTGTTTAAAGATATTTTTGCATCTTTTGTGTTATTAAAATGTAGCTCATTATATCTCCTTAAGATATCTAGCATTTTGCTTCAACAAAGCCATCCATGTGATTTGTTTGCATCTTATATTTACTAAAGACAACTTTTTCTGCCTCAACTGGAAAGAGGCCTATGACTTTCTATATTAAAATATAACTTTAAATCTTTTTTGCCCTTTAATATTATTGTTTTCTCAGCATTGGAGTTCTTCCTGTCTTCTCTCAAGAAGAGAGAGAAATTCTACATTTATTCTTGAAAGAAGAATCAAGAAGAACATGACATATCTAAAGTATGATAAATCATTTTTTATTATATGAGTTCTTCAGATGATAATACCAGTGACATATTGTAAGAAAAAACAAATTATCAAATGTGTAGATCTATAAAACTTCAGTAAAAAGAATGTCTTTATATGCAATCTTTAAATTAACAATAATGTTTTATCGTAATGCATTTATAGGATATACTTTCATTATTCCCATCTAAACAGACTGTTGAAATCTGTTATTTTCTGCTTTCTTTTTTGGTTTTTTTTTTTAAGAGTCTCACTCTGTTGCCCAGGCTGGAATGTAGTGGTGTGATCTCAGCTTACTGCAACTTCCACCTCCCGGGTTCAAGTGATTATCCTGCCTCAGCCTCCCAAGTAGCTGGAATTACAGGTGCCCACCACCACGCCCAGCTAATTTTTGTATTTTTTTTTAGAAGAGACGGGATTTTACCAATTTGGCCATGCTGGTCTCGAACTCCTGACCTCAGGTGATCCGCCCACCTCAGCCTCCCAAAGTGCTAGGATTACAGGCATGCGCCACCATACCAGCCTCCTGCTTTCAATGAAGACTATTTTTGAAAAATGTTGATTAAATAATATAAATAAATTAAGCCAAAATTTTGTCTCTAAATCATGGCCGTTATCTATGTAGAGTATCTGACTATGAAATTTCTCCCCTATCAAGAAGATAATTTGCAACTGTGATTTGTATGAACTAAATTTAGATATTAGATGTGAAATTGAGATCAATGATTGACAAGCATTTTAATCCAGAATGATATGACTATTCAGGCTCTGAAGAACAACTGTATAATTCACAAAGTATTTGAAAATAGCTACTTGAAGAAAAGGTGAAAATGAGAAGCAAACCCAGATTATGATTCAGTTAGTGCAATTAATTACATGATTGTATTTTAGAAAAGAGAAGACATTTATCAAAATTAGTTTAGGTACTTAATTAACTAAATAATATAAGGTGTTTTTGAAAATAATATTCACTGGCAAGAAGAAAAATAAGTAAGAAACAAATCTTGAAATGCCATCTCTAAATATTCAAAAGTTTCATATGAGAACAAGCAAACAATTGAGATTATTATTGAGATTCTCATTTTTAATATTGGGTAGATTGCTAGAATATTAAATTTGTTTAGGTTCTTTCCATTAAAAAGCTGAAGTATAAATGAGGAAAATAAACCTTTGTTCTTACTACAACCATTTTAATTAACTATATGGAGGAAAAATGAATAGATGAGTGATATCCTGACATAATTACAAAACTCTAAATAGTCTTCTTTGGTTTTGTTCTATTCAAATCAACATATCCAAAGGTAAAAAAGATAGAGCATTTAAGAGAGCATTTACAATTTCCGGGAAAGACTTAATTGCAAATGGCTCAATTCTTTCTTCCCCTTTCTCTATATGGCTCTTAGAACCCAGCTGTGAAGACCATAGGCATGTAACAGCCAAGTCATTTCTGTGGACGACATCATTTAGACATAACAGGTGTAAATCCAATCGGAACTACACACAGGAAAACCCATAGGTAATTGGACTTCCCTGTGATGTGACTTGTACCAGATGGTCTTTGTTATTCTGATTAATAGTGGAATAAAAAAGAGGTCACTAACACTAATAACATGCAACTTCAGGAGATGCAAAACCAAATTAACTATAGACCTTTGGCTTGTAATGCTTAAGTTCAGAGATTAAAAAGATTGATCAAATTTTCCTCCAGGAATACTTTAGCTCCACATTCTTCTTTGAGTACTACTTCTGCTGATCATTGAATAAGAAGCAGTTTCTAAAGATTAAAATCTAAGATGATGCCAAAGTGTTCAATTAAACAATTTACAGAGCCTAATACGACTTTACCCACACCAGATAAAATTATCTTTATCCAGAAGTAGTAAGAGAAAATCAATGAACTAGCAGTCTAGTTGTCAGTGGTCAGAGAATATGCCATAAGGACAAGAACAATGGATACAAACAAAATAGATGGACATCAAATACAAGAATAATAATAATAAAACATGAAGTTTTTAGAAGTCTTACTGCAGAAATCAAAGTAAAAATCTTCTTCAATAACATTCATCGTGCTATTTTTTTAAAAAGCAACTAAAATGTCCCCAAATATGGAACTATTAAATAAATTGAAATGCCCATACAATGAAATACAAGAGAAGCTTTAAAATTGATGATGGGGAAAATGGCCACAAGTAATGTTTAAAATTAGTTTAAAAATATAGTATGTAAAAATTCATTTTTTTATATATGAGCATATCTATTGAAAGATAAAATATAATAGTTATTTTGTCTGTGTAGTGCAATTTTTGTTTTTTATTTACTATTTTATTTTATCCTTTTAAAATTTACTTTTCATAGGGTTTGTCTTTTTAAACTTCTGTTACAATTAATAATAGATTATTCTGTAATCAGGAACAAATATTTTGCAGGAGAAAGGAGACTTTAATGAAAATAATGGTGCACAGAGCATGAAAAGGTAGCCCATTTAGGGAATGATAGTTTATTATTAAAGGATAACAAAGAGGAAAGTTCATTAAGTCATTTCTGCAAATAGAAATAAATAAAATGAATATTACATTTTCAGCACACTGGAAGATGAGAAGGTATAGAGAACAATTATAAAACAAAATAAAATAACTATAGTTTTTTGCTTAAGACTGCCCCTGGAAATTCACTACTTGAGACCATTTTGTCTCTATCCAGGATAAAATCTGGGTAGGCTCCGCAGATGTTCAATCTTCACTAACAAATCTTCCCTGCTCACCTTAGCGTTGAAACAGCCTCACTCTAAAATTAATGTACCCAAACAGATTTAATAAAAGAGTAAATTTAAAGTTATAATTCTTCCTTGACCCAGCTAGACCAGCTTCTTGTTCTACCCAATCTAACAACACCAAGGTTAGAGAGATATGAGGAAATAAGTAAATAACGATGAAGTCTGAATTAAGTGAAGGTCTCTCATCTGTATTTCCAAGGCAAAGGTGACACAAGATCTGCCTGGACATTTGTGACTCCACTCCTCCTTCAGCTTCTGGTACAAATAGATTCTCTGGAGTTAGCTCTTTCTTTCATTCTCTCTCCCTCTCCCATTACCTAGTGGTAAATCCAGCCCTTGGACTAGTCATTTCGCACCCTTTACCAAACCAGCCTAGATCATGACTTTGCTGTTACAGGAAACCTTTTGCTTTTTCCAAGTGAGGAAACACTAGTTCATGTGTCCGCCAAATGTTCAAACTTTAGCAACACCTCTAAAATTCTCCAAGTGGCCTTATTTAAGTCTTTATCATTACACTTGAGATAAGGGGAAGGTATGATCCCCTCACAACAAATTTATAACTCTATCTTAAAAAACACTTCAACTGAATAGTTTTTAATATCCTCAAGTGCATGAGAAGCCAAGGGTTGCAAACTTAGTTGCTGAAAACTTCTTTGCCAAGTTCTGCTAGATGGACAAGCACCAAATTTATTGTACTATTACTAGTTGAAAGAGGCCTAGGGGATGATTGATTCAGTCCCTTTGACTTCAGTAGAAGTCCCTTTTTCTCCTCTCAATACCTCTTAAATATATATACATATTATGTGTTGGACCTGGTTTATACCTTCCACAGACTTAGCTCAGCACCACCTGCCTTCCAGGCCTCTCCTGATGGACTAATTTGCCAGCCAGCAGGCTCTTGCAGTAGTTCTCAGTCACAAAGCCACAGTCTCATAACACAGACAGTAGTCTCAGCCTATGCTTGGGTGAGGAGCGGGCTTCCATGATCTCTATTAAAAGCTTCACTCTGGGAGTCACAGAAACTTCAGTGTCAAGAAGACCATGCCAGGGGCAGCTTTGTCTTCTCCCAGATGCTGTCAAGAGAAGACGGTCAACACCATTCTAAAGAGTGGATGATTTAATGTTGTTCAGGAAGGACTGGCTAATGAGAGATAGGAACTAGGACTATTCAAAGAGCAGTGGTTTTAAACTGCCTCTCTAGAGGTATTCTGCATGACAGAGTCAACATCTTGGTTTTCTTGGAGGTTGGGAATGCACTATCTTGTATTTGCTTTTCCTTCTTCTCTACCTCACTTCCTTTCCATCCGTGTTTTCTTCCTTTGAATGATATTCATCAACAAAATTCTAGCTTGAAAGTTTGTGTCAGCCTCTGTTTTCAAATGCACCCTGGGAGAAAGGTAATTTACTGAAAAGTATTTGGGAGGTTATTGTGAAAATTTAAGTATGAATGGTCAAGAAATTACATATGCCAGTGACATCATGCAACAGCTACTAACATCTTATAGAACTATAGCTCTGAGGAGCATACCTGATATAGCTTTGGATCAGATATTGCTATGGTTTTGGTCTAGTTTTTTCAGCCTCACCAAGTCTCATATTAAAATTTGGCTTTCAGTAGTATTGGGGGTAGTGCCTAATGGGGGGTGTTTCGGTTGTGGGGGAAGATCCCTCATGAATGGGTTGGTGCCATCCTCATGGTAATGAATTCTTGCTCTTCCAGTTCTCCTGAGAGGTGGTTGTGAAAAGGAGCCTGATATCTCCCTTCTCACTCTTGCTTCCTCTCTCACCATATGATCTCTGCACACACTGGCCCCCTGCCTCTTCTGCCGTGAGTCAAAGCTGCCTGATGTCCTTACCAGATGCAGAACAATGAGTCAAATAAAGCTCTTTTCTTTGTAAATTACTCAGCCTTAGGTATTCCTTGATAGCAACACAAAAACAAAGACAGTTGTCTATTTAAATGTTAGGCTAAAGAAAAATCAGGGTTTTAAATAATTAAAGTTAGTTTTATTCCATCTTACTGAGGATTATAACCTCGGAGAGTCTTTGAGAGAATTTCTGTCAGCTCTGACGCAGCATTTCAGCTCATAGTTTTTATTCAGGCAGTGAAGATTCAGTACATGCAAATTATATGAGAGCTTGGTTGTAAGAGTACATCTAGTTATAGTTTGCAGGAGCATAATTGCTAAA
This sequence comes from Homo sapiens, assembly GCF_000001405.40. NCBI lineage: Eukaryota > Metazoa > Chordata > Mammalia > Primates > Hominidae > Homo > Homo sapiens. The sequence continues at coordinate 187,618,650 of NC_000002.12, read as the reverse complement.
CTCGGTAGGCTTTTTTATGTGTAAGAAAAGGCAAGAAGTAGGGTCATTTTTCTTTTAAGGAATGTAGCGTCTGAGGCAAGAGACCTGGGGTGCTGTGTTCTATAGCGTGTTTATCGTCTTCAAAGCATTCCTTCAAAAAGCTACACCTTTTAACAGAGTCAGGGCAACTGTAAATTTATGCTGGAAGAGAACATATTCTTATTTTTCTCAAAAAATCTAAAGTTTGTGTTTCCTTATTTTATAAGTTGACCTAATAATTCTCAGTTGCTATAAATCCACTCACTCAACCTGTGAAATTTCAAAGAGTTCATGATTCTAATTTTGAAAAGGAACATATTAAGCAGCAATAAAGTGAACAACTTTTTGTGCAAAGATGTGTGTCTTGCAAGAATCACCCACAATGACTTTCATTTATTTTGACCTCATATCACCAGAGCACTGACCTCAGTAATGCTCAATGTCAGAAAGATGAGCTGAATCAGAGGAAGCAAAGCACTAACATTGGCATCCAAATTGTTGTGCATTGAAACATCATCTCAGCTTGCACCTGGCACATTGGCTCTACTTGCTGATGCTGAAACTGGAAACTGCCACATGGCATTATTTATCAAAGTCTAGAATGAGAGACTTTCATTGTAGGATATAATGCAATCAGGATCAGCCTGTAATTATGAGGGCAGTTCCCTGCATTCACATGACACTGAAATGACAGTCCCTGTATTCACTCACATATCTCACCCTAAAAACTTCACATTAAATACTAAAATAACTTATCTGCATTTGAAACATCAATTTCAGTGAACTTACAACCAATCATCCCACAAAGGATGTAAGAAGAAAAAAATCATAATTACAAATATGGAATAAACTGTAATAATATTATCTCAAATGTGATACTTTATTGTCAAAAATATCAAAATAATTGGTATAGGTCATAATAGGAATAGACAATGCTCGAATAGTGTTTCTGCTTTGTCAGAAACTGTTCTGAGTGCTTTGTACATTTAACTTCTTTTATTTTCATGGGATAACCAGTGTTTTATGATAGTTGTTAATGATTCTCACCTCCTGGTATTTACACCCTTGTGCAGTACCCTTCTACATTTTTGTACTAGGTTTGTTCTGTGTGACCAACAGTACACAGAAAAAGGGGTGGTATGCCATTTCTGTGATTATTTTAAAAGCTGAGGCTTCCATTTGGGCCCTGACACACTCTTTGTCTTCCTTCTCTGTCATCATTCACTCTGGGGTAAGCAGCTGCAATGTGTGAGCATCTTTATGGAAATGCAACAAGGAAAAGAACTAACGCCTGCAGTCAACAGCCAAGGAGTGTGAAGCCTTCCAACAGCCATGCGAGCTATGTTGGAAGCGGGCTCTCCAGCCCTGGTTGAGCAATGACATGATAGAAGCTTGGGCTGATAACTTTAAATTTGTGAGCAACCCTGAGTCAGAGGACCCAGCTAAGCCATTCCTGGGCCCCTAACTCTAAGCAATTTTGTGAGAAAATATATGTTTGTATTTAAGCTGTTAAATTTTAGAATAACTTATTACACAATGATAAATAATACATCAGAACAATTCTGAAAGGCAGTTATTACATCCTCAACATCACTTGTTGAAAGTTCTCTTTTCCCATTCAATTACCTTATGACCTTTATTTTGTATCAATCGCTAATATGTGTGTGTGTGTGTGTGTGTGTGTGTATGTATGTACTTTGACTCTGTTCTCCTTAATTGATCCATCTTTGCATGAATTGATACTTTTAATCCATGAACTTGGTGTATATCTCCATTTACTTAGGTCTTTTAGGTTTCTTTCGGCATTGTTTTGTAGTTTTTAGCTTAGGGGTCTTTTGTTAGATTTAATTGTGGATAACATTTGATTTTATGACATACCCCTCACTAAGACACTCAGTCTTCCTTACTGTTACCACATACTATGCCTTTGCAGTATGTCTTTATATTTAATATTATTTGCTATTATTTAAGAGTAACATTTTTGAGAGAAATTTTAATGTTCACAGTCATTGAATATCATAATGAAATAAAACTTACTCATATTTTAGTAAGTAAAACTAGAGAGCCATTAAACTGAACTGTACCACATAATCTTTAAAATTCACCTCTTAAAGTTTCATCTTTTTCTAAGCTGACTGCAAGCATATTTTATAGTTTGCAATACATCTAATCTATAGTATTTTCTGTTTTCTTTAAAAATATTGGTATCTAATATTTTTAAATTATACACGCATTCATTATACATAAATTTAAAAGCTGGAATTCTTTGCTGATCTGGGAATCAGTGTTGACTTATTAATGAGGAGGTATAGAACTCATTAATGTGTGATAAGATGTTAAAGAATCCATCCTTTGGCTAGGTGAATGTTAAAGGACAGAAAAGGAATTAGAGTCAAGTCCAGAACTAGGGAGTGGTAAAATAGCCAATAGTTACAAACCAATAACCATCACATTGATAGATGGTTGTTAACTGAGAGTACTTCAGAGCAATGCTGCAAAGTCAGAAGGATCGCTGTGCCAGCAACAGCACACAAGGAAATGCAATGGTCTCAAACAAAAAGGTTGAGTGATCTAAATCATTGTTTTCCTTTGACATGCAAAAGTCTTAACAGTGGGCACAGGAAGGAGAGGTAAAAAAGTGTTCACTTTTGTGACCTCTGCACCTTTATGCTTTCCTTCATTATGCATATGTTCACAAAATCTCTCAGGAACTTCTTTCAAAATTCATATGAACAGACTCAATCTGCAAAGAAAACAGATCATGTGGATCCCAAGCACACGTGTGTTTACACAATGACCCCAAGTGGCAAACACTAACTAAAGAATATTACATTTGTTATCTAATTTGTTTAACCCACACAGAACCCTGAGAGAAGTATTATGAACCTCGGTTTCCAAAATAGGGAAAATGGGTCTTTATGATGTAATTAATCAGGAAACCTCTCTAGTTATTGTGCTTATAACCACTCTGCTCTGCTACTCTCGTTAGTCACTAGTGGTTTACTTAAGGTCACTTCATTACTATAGTGGAAGTACTTGCAACGTGAATGGCAGAATTCCCATAAGAAGCAGACTGTGGTATCTGACCAGCAGAAGTCTCCCAAGAAGTGCTTCCACAGCTGTTTCCAACATGCTCATGGTTATGTCCATACGACTTCCTCTTCCAACTCTGCCCTCTGACACCATGGGTGTGTGACCCAAGTACAGAGAGGTAGGTGTCCCTCCTGGCCCCAATAAGCCTTCATGATGTTATGGTTATTTTGTGGGCATCAACTTTCCCTTCAAACAGAGAACACAGTGATATACTTTATACTGTAAGTTCTCTGCTTTAGATGTTTGCTCCAGGAACAGATGCAAAAATACACAGCTGTACCCTCAAATTTTAGGGAAAGAGTCTGAAATACATCACCAGAGGTCTGCAGAATGTGTTCATTGTTAACAAATTGATGAGCTTAATTGGTTTTACTCTGTGATTTAAAAAGAAGTCCATTTTTGTCCATCTTAGCTACTCCACTTAACTTTTAATTTCACACTTTATTGCCTTTATTTTTGCTGTTCTCATCACTTGAACTATTCAGTTATCTTTGTTATGCTTGGTTAACAGCTATTAACTTGGCAAGCCAGTCTTTGCTTCAAGCAGCTATTCTCCCTGATTTAGTCAGTACATTCCATTTCAGTTCACATTCCAATAAGGAGTAATATGAGACACTAGAAAGAAGAGAACCCACACATCAAAAATTGCAATACTAAATTCATGTTTACCGCAATTCACAACCAGGAGATAATTCACCTATTACAATAAGTTGCATCACAAAGCTACAGGGATCTTACTGATAGAAGAGTTATTACTTTTAGATTAAGTGTTATAGACGTTGTATACAACCTAAATAGTGCTGAAACCTTTCAGCTTCTGAACGTTGGCCCTCATAATATTCAGAAATGTTAGTTCCTCTGTATAATAACAATTAGTGTAATATAGCTAGTCTTTTTTAAATATTATTTTTTGAGACATTGATAGCTTCTTAGATAGCAAGACATAAATTTACCAAAGTTTATTTTAGACAAGTCATTATTAGAAAGATAAATTAGTTGTTTATTCAATTGTGTAAATAATCACTACTCTAATTTCTTTTGTAACCCTGGAAATGTCAATACTATTAAAGAATTAAACTGAATCATATAACTTACAAAGAGTATTTGATGAGAATTTACTAAGTAAAAAACAAATACTTAACACAGCCTTCTAACTTTTCATACCTGTGATTTCCAGAGAAGAACTTATCTCTTCTCTTTCATAGTGATACATTAGGCTGTATTTATCCTCTCAAAGGAATTACAAGATTTCTTTGTTTTTCTTTTTAGACCATTTTCTATGTGAAAAGGATTAACACTGACATAACGAGAGTTTTTCAAGGACCTCTGATAAACAGGGATGTGATATTTGTCCACAAATCTAAGCACCATTATATGTAGGACACCAGAGAAACTGGAGATACTAAGAATATAATTCATAAATACAAAAATGTCTTTAATAATTTCTGTGTGGTGTTTATTAAGGCTCAAAAAATAAATCCTTAATCAATAAATTACTAAAAACAAAATATTATTTTCCAATTGTAAACACCTATTATTTTTTGCTGAAATATATTTAAAGAAATATTTATACAATGTTGATATTAATATAGATATTGATGTTAATACTCATATTAATACAAAAATATGTTAACATTTGCTTAAGGTATTTATTTTATAACATTATTATGTTCAAAAATATATTAACATGAATAACCTGCAAATTGGTTCATTAGTTTATTAGACAAACCAAAACCAACCGTATGCCCACTATGCATATGGCCCATACACTCAACACATCACAGAGAAAGAGCACAAATAAGGTAAACAAATACAAGTTACAGTTTATTTTTAGAGAAATTTTAAAATAAAACATTATAGATGCTCTGTAATTTTCCACTTAATTTTCATTGTCTAATGTGTTCATCTCTCTGAAATCATTTCCAAAATGCTGTTTACCAAAAACAAGAATAATGTTTAGAGGCCTCAAAAATGTTTGAGGTCATACATCAAATAGGTTTTCTTTTTATTCTTAAAAGCTATCTGTAGAGTATCTCTACTTGCCTTTTAGGTCTATATTATTGGGCATATTGACCACTGGCTTCTATCAAAAGCAGTTTGTTTATTAGTCACTTCTGAGCATTCTCTAAATCATTAAGGCCTGAAAAGTATGGTATGCAGGAGTGTCGGGTTGTTGTACATGAAAAGAAAAAATTTACTCTACTAAACATACTCTGCAGATAAAAATTATTGCATGAATTCATGTCGTAAAGGGTAAAAAAAAGGGAGGGGCACAAAAACTGCTAATGTCTCCCCAGAAGTCTGCACTGTTTGCTACCAAAATTCCCTTTTTTAATTGAATTTTCATATCTAAATCTTTTACACACAATACCAAAAACTAACCCATGAGCCATGTGAAATGATACACAGCTGGATGCTCCTTGCAGATTTGCCGAAGCATGACTCTCTTAATCAAAAGCATTTGGATCTTTTTTAATAAGCCTTGCAGTGATTTAAAGAATTTGATCACAGCAGTTATCAAGCTCACACATCACACAGTTTGGTTAAAGGCCTTTTCACTGCTCATTCACATCAGCCAGACATGACAAAAGAATTCTCTATGATTACTTAGAGAAATGTTCTCTATTATTCTAAATGTTTCCAGTGGATTATGTCATGTGTCAGAGATTATAGTATAATTTTGGTGGTGTTTATTATCTTAATGTGGTGACCCAAAGTATGGCACTGTTTCAGTGAAGTATGTGGCATCACAGAAGATAGGCTTCACTTCAATAAAAGATAGTGATATAGTTTGGTTCTTTGTCCCCACCCAAATCTCATCTCGAATTGTAATCCCCAAGTATGCAGGGAGGGACCTGTAATATCCATGTATCAAGGGAGGGAAGTGATTGGATTGTAGGGAGGGGTTTCCCCCATGCTGGTCTCATGAGAGTGAGTGGGTTCTCACAGGATCTGATGATATTATAAGTGTCTGACATTTCGACTGCTTGCACTTGTCTCTCCTGTAGCAATGTAAAAAAGGTCCTTTCTTCCCCTTTGCCTTCCACCATGATTGTAACTTTCCTAAGACCTCCCTAGCCATGTGGAACTGTGAGTCAATTAAACTTCTTTCCTTTATAAATTATCCAGTCTCTGTAGTATCTTTATAACAGCATGAGAATGGACTAATACAGATGGCTTTTACTTTCTAATTGGAACTTTATATATTAGAGTCTTAGACACCACATTTTTTCATTCATTCAAGATAGATCATTAACTTTTTAAAGAAACAATATTTTAACAGAAATAATTGCCATATATCTCACTTTCCACTACTTTTTACATCACAGATAATGTATTATTACATAGTGTCTTTTATAATATCATTCACATACAATGAAAGATGTTATAAAGACTTGCTTTCTGACTATCAAATGTCTAATTTTTAGGTTTAAAAATCTCATATTTATGGCAAAATGGTTTATTAGAAATTAAAGGACATGGTTCAAATTCAATTGGACAGACAAATCTCCTCATGAGAACGTTCTCACTGTTTTACAAAGTTCTAAAAGAAACTTTGAGGAGCGCAGGATGTCTTGTTTGGCAGCCCCACTATGATTACTCAAAGTGAAAAGGAAGTAAACACTGAAAAGGAGGTCAGGGTGTCCAAGTAAGGGAGAAATGAATGCCGAGAAAACTAAATGGCAAAGGTGATAAATATTTCAGAACTAAGGTACATTACTTCTTCTGTCTGATGTGGTTATAAGTTTAGGGTTTCTGTGAACATGAAGGGCTATTATGGAGTAGTGTTTTAATAATATAGACTCAACAATTAGATAGACTTTCATTCACATCCCGACTTTGCCTCTTCAAGCTAGAGAACTTTGGTCACATTTCTTAATTTATTGATTCCCTGTTACACTGTCATGTTACTTCATTAGTCATCACGAAAATTAAAAAATGTATAATTTCAGAAGTAGTCAGTATGGACTACTTACTGTTAATTTATTTTATTTATTTATTTTGAGACGTAGTCTCGCTCTGTCGCCAGGCTGGAGTGCAGTGGCGCAATCTTGGCTCACTGCAACCTCCACCTCCCGTGTTCAAGCGATTCTCCTGCCTCAGCCTCCTGAGTAGCCACCACGCCTAGCTAATTTTTGTATTTTTAGTACAGATAGGGTTTAACCATATTGGCCAGGATGATCTCGACTCTTGACCTCATGAGCTGCCCACCTTGGCTTCCCAAAGTGCTGGGATTACAGGTGTGAGCCACAGTGCCCGGCCTGTTACTTTATTTTCTACTATTACTACAGGTAGCAATTATTCAATGCTTGGCATTGAGTAAGCACTCAATAAGTGCTAGTATAATGCTATAATGACAGTAAAGATTACTATTTTTATTTTTATTAACCAACAAAATATATATCTGTATGTTAGAAAGATACTTTTGCAAATGAGAATTAACCGGTATAGAAACCTTTGAGTAAATAATTTAAGAATTATCAATTGCACACAGAAACACTATACAATTAAGATTGATGAGATGACTTTGTCTTTATAGAATATGAATAATAATAAATGCTAACATTATTATTAAAGCTATCTTTAATTAAGCAGCTACTTTGATTTAGACACAATACATAATGTCACCCACCTAATCCTGAAAGACAGTAGCCATTATGAAACATAATATTAAAAAGAAAGAAAGGAAAGAAAGAAAGAAATATGGGTAATACATTTAAACCATAGCAGTGCCCGTCACAGGGTTGTGGGGAGATTGAAATATGCTGTGTGGATACAACTGGGATATGTCATGCACTTTCTTTACCGATATTCAGCCCTCTGAGGGCCTCTGATATTCCCCTCCCCTAGGCTGCCTCCTCTAGGCCTATGATTCCAAAGGGTATGTGTGTGGGAAGCTCAGGCTGAGTACAGTAACTGGGTGTGTCTGGAGGGCTAATGCCCTGACTGCAGGGAAGTGGATCCAGGGGGCAGAGGGTTACAGACCCTGTAAACTTCCCAAAGAAGTAGGCAGAAGATGATACAGGTTTCCTGGGAGCTTTCAATTGGGAGTTTTTTTTTATTGAAAACAAATATAAAATTTAAAACATATAATTAGATCTAGGACCTTGGAGGTTTCCTTTATTAGCCACTTGGGTAAAGTGCCTAGGGAAGGAAGTGTTATCATTCTCACCATTTTACAGAGAAGAAATGAGCCACACAGTGTTGAGATGATTTTACCAAAGTCATACAGCTGGTGAATGTTAAAGCTAGACATCAAACCTGATATTGTGTTTTCACTTTACAGACGGAAATCTCAGTCTTAGTGAGTTTATGTAACTTGACAGAGGTCCCAGAGTTGTTAAGGCAAGATTAAAACCCAGATCTGTCAAACTCAAAAATTCATATTCTCTCCCTTAAGATTTTAATACCAACTGTGAAGAATCCCAGCAGAGGATATTGAGTATATTTTCAGATCTTCATTGCTTTTGATGAGAAAATCAAAAGAATAAGAGTTAGCCTGGACTCTGAAGGAAGTAAAGCCAATTTGGAAGATGAGGTTGCTATTTTCCGAGGGCACATATACAAACCCTGTTTTGATATATTTTAAATCATGTATCCTTACATCTCTTATTTGCAACACAGTGTCATATTCACTAGTTAACTATTATGTCATAGGGCATTTGAGATTTTCAAACTGAAAATCTATATTAATTTTTATTTACAGCTTTCTGAGTTTTAAAGCCAAAACCCACTATTCATATGAATAACCTATTTTTGAAGATAAGCACAATTTTGTTCTATATTTAGTATTCAAGAAATTGCTCATTTCGTAACTAAATCTTCCATAGAATACCTCTTTCCCTTGCATGGTATTGCATAAATAATGTAAAATTTATCTCCCCTTAATAAAAAAATTAAAAAGCTAATTCATGACAAATGTATCTTAATATTCTATATTGGGGCCAGAATTTATTAGGAAATCCAAATGTTCTACTAAACTTATTTACCATAGAATGTATAGGCATTTGAAAATTTTATATAACTTGACAAGCAAGAGGAAGGTGTGATGGGACCTATTTCATTACAGTCTTGTACCATTATGGTACAGACAAACACAAATTTTTAGAATACATTATCCAACAATTAGGTTGTTATGAAACAGTTTCCAAAATGCTTAACATTCTTTAGTAGGCTTTAATAGGTTCTTTTAAATCTTGCTAACTCTCTTTCTCTCATATCTCTCAGCACAAATATACATTATATTTATGAGTCAAATGTTAATAAGTGGCACCCCTGAACTAATAGTTCCAGGAGGGCACTTTTGTGATAAAGGAAGTGTAGCAATGAGCCCATGTCCACAGAATTTGCCGGTCTTGGGTTATGTCAAGTTGGGGGTATAATGAGGCAATGAGACAAATTAATGATCTTAAATAATGTTACAGATCAGTGATTCTAATATGTCAGTTGGGTGTTTGTGATTTTTAAATAATATTTCAAATCAAAATAAGAAAACTAATGATACTATAGTTTTTCATTAAGCTGCAATTATTCCTTTTAGATAATCACTTTTTAATTCTCAGATTGTGCTTTTCCTTCCTTTTGTTTGTTGAAATATTCCTTCTTTCATTTTTAAAAATAGTCATTCCATTCACTTCAGAAAAATCAAAAGCTTATATTCTCTATAAAGCATCTGATTTTTAAATAAAATGTAACTTGACCATAAAAATCTAAAAATATAGAAACCAATGTTATATAGAATTAATGAGACATATAGTTTTGGTCAAGGGAATATGTATGTGCAAGAACTTGGAACAATAGAATTAACAAACATTTTTCTAAAAGTAAACAATGAGATGTAATAGATTATAAGGACTTTTCTGCTGAAAATAATGGTTCCCATACGAGAAAAAGACATGACCACACAAATCAGCATGTACAAAGAACAACACAGAACAAAAAGAAATCAGAAGCATTTTATTAATTTCAGAAACAAAGAACAACCTCTGGCGGTGGTGTAAGATTGTTCTAGTATTCACACCTGACTAAGGGTATGTTAGGTTCTTAATGTGGAGAGAACTATACATAAATATATATTATTACATTAGCTCATACAGTATTAATGTACAGTTAAATGCTATTGAGAGTGTTGTGATTATTAACACGTCTTTTTCATTTTTAAGTTTGTTTTCATAAGGTCTTAATTTTTAAAAATCTTAGATATTGTGACAGAATAAGTAGATGTAAATATGAGACAGGTTAATAGATTTATCATCAGAACTGGTTGGTCCTGATCATACAGTGTTTTACTCTTAAGATTTTGTGTTTTAAGATTTTGGATTCCAATTTGAGTTGGAGATGGAATTGATAGCACCGTTATGAAGAATATGTTTTCTTAAAAAAACAAAATTTACAAATATATAGGTATGCTGTAAATTATTCATAAATAGCATAGCTAATTTATAGAAACTCAAACAACTTACTTTTACTCTGCTAAATGATAAGAATTAGTTTGCCTCTAATATCAAAACCTGACATTGCTTTAAGTATTCCTGACCTTATTCATATTCCACTGCATTTCAATTTTTGTCTTTCTGGATACACAAAATATGAAACGAATTTTATAATGTAATTTTATCTATCAATGTAATGTCTCATATTTTAGAAATCAAATAATATTTATTTTCCCTTATATTGGTGCTCGCACTCTTGAAACTAGCACAAGTTTTTAGCTTAAACCAACTGTTTTCTCTAATCTCTGAAAAAGCTACAGACTTACTGCTCTTATACCAAGGAGTTTTAAAGTAACTTTTATTACACAAATGTTTATTTTTAAAAAACATTGAACAGAACTCCCTAAAAAATAATGAAATCCTATAATAGCTCATCTTTTAAACCATGTTCCATGTAGATCTCACGATTACTAAATAGAGAGTAAAACAATAATTATGGCATTGACAAAAGCAATGTATGGTATGAATTGAAGGTATTTGTGTGAATAGTGATAGACAAATAGAAAGATAAATGGATATGGCCATAGATATGAATGTGGGTGTAGATGTAGACATGTAACATTTAATTTTAGTCACTATTTGATGTAACAAATTGAGCTCGTCTTTAAAATAAAAGTACAACTTTATGCCATGTTTATATTCTAAATTTCTAAAAAGAAATAAATAACATTGACTACTTCAGAAGTCAAACTGAAATCGACAAACATCAATTTGATGGGTTAATAAAAATCGATGCCTTAGCTTTTAGTCAAAATTTTAGCAAATGCAAAATTAATCAAAATTATATTCTAAAATCTAGTTTTATAGATGTTTTAAGCTAGGAAGTCACATATTTTTATATACAAATACTGCTATTTATTGCAGCATTTTAAGAACTTGGGATGTTCCAGACGCTGTCTAGTTTTAAAAGTAGGAGGTTATATGAATAACCAACTTTATATTAGTCAATCATTTACACATAAACACACTTTTGTCATCAATATAGTTTTTGCTATTTATCTTAAAATGTCTTGCCTTTCTTAGAAAACTGGTGCTTTTTATTAAAGTTTTCTACAATTGAAAATGTTTCTGTGACAATTACTATAAGAGGAACATGTGTTTTAATTGCAAGACATTAACTCAATATGTGGTTTTGACAAAACTCTAAGTCTGTTCCTCAGCACTGGCGTACTTAACATGCTTTCCAACCTCTGTTTAATGTACATAGGCAGGAAAGTAACAAAGTACATTTCCCAGATTCCTTGCAACTATGGCTTTGGATGTCATTTAAATAATTCTAAAGAGATGCATTTTTTGGTGACTGCGACTTAGGAAGTAAATCACTAGAGAAGATAGGCTAAGCCTAAGGTGCCTGTTTTCTTTCAGTAGATTAAGTAGAAGTCAACCGCTGGTCAGCAGCTTTCTGATTCCTAGTCTCCAGCCATGGCAGTGGATCCCTAGAGCCATCAATTCTTCTGATTATTACCTTGCTGCAAGATTGTGACTAAGGGAGTGTGATTCTATCTGGCTATCCGGTGTTTTACCAAAAGTGATTCTTTGGGACCCAACTTAATGACGGATTCTTCAACCCTTTCCATAGTTCTATAACCACCCACTTTCTGTATTAAATCTCCACTTAAATTACATGGAAGGATCGCCTTTGTCCTCAATCGAACTCATACTAATCATTAATTTATTGAGCTACTATGATGATTAAATGAGGGTGATAAATATAAAGCAATTAGAAGAGTCAACGCTGGGTGATCAGTAAATGTTAGAAAAATTAGCAGGACAACCCCTTAATGAACATATTTCATTTGTACGAACATATTTGTTTTATTGCTAGAATAATATCAACCATACTCTGTATGTTTTGTGAGAATTTTGAGTTAGAGAAATCTGATGTCAATAACTCATTTATACTTTTACTTGTTGAACTATGCTTCTCCTTATTATATCCTATTTTCACAAAATCCGAATGCAAACACAGCCAAGCCAATTAAAATATAGAAGAATCAATCTATAAGGTTCATTGCTGGTGTTTCAGCAATTGATTTACATTGTCAAAAAATAAATTCAAAGTGTTTTTATAACTGATCAATGTTAGTCTGCTGTAATTAATTGATTTCACAGTAAATATCAATACTACTATGTTTTTCTTTAAAATTTAAATTGAGTTTCAAACAAATATTTAAAATAACTTTGTCTATTCCTGGGCATCTTATGAAGAATTAGAGATTAAAGAAATAGTTCCAATAATTGATGGAAAAATAAATAAATAAATAAATAAATGACTATGTAGTCTTACTACTGAGAGGTAAAAGCTCAAGAAAAGTAAAGAAAAAAAAAAGCTAATTGCTAAGTCATTCAGGAAATAAAGAAATAAACTTATAAGAAATTAATTTCTTGCACAGTAAAATATTTAACATTATAAACCATACATATATATATGTGAATGTCACATGTATACATATATACACTATCTATACATAAGTTACCATCATGTAAGGGACAAAAGTAAGTGTACCCTTCATCTCTTGTGACAGTAATATCATCTGTACAAGGCTCTTTCACTCACATTTGTTTTCCCCTCATTGTTAGTTTTTCCCTCTGTACTCACCTCCCCTCGCTAACCACACTGATGTGTTTAGTATAGATTTTAATATGCATGTACTTTCATTAAAAAAAATAGTGTCACTTGATGCATGTGATTTTAATTTGGACAAATGATATTCACCTATACATTTTTTTTCAAATTTTAAATTTAACACTAAATTTTAAGATCCTTTTTGTATGTTTATCTAGTTCTTTGTCCTAACTTCTGCACAGTATTCCATTACAATCCATATTTCCATTTTCCTATTTAAATACACCTTAGGTGCCCTCAGTTCCCTGCTACCACAAACAGCCATGGAATAACAGATAATGAGAGTGTCCCTTGGCCATATGCTCTTGCAGGATTTCAGTGTCACAGGAAACACGCAGGCACAAATCTACTAAGAATTGGTAGTTTGCCCTTCATAATGGCTTTTCTAGTTTACACTTATATCAGCAAGATAACCTTGCTTTCCATTCTCTATATTCTCACCAATTCTTGGTGTTAATTCACTTGCCATTTTTTTCATATCTGATGCATAGGACATGATAGCTATTAAGAAAATATATATTTTATCTATCCAAAGCAGGATCACTTTTGATAGTTAAGAGATAATAACTGCAAAGAGATTGCAATCATAAGCTGAGATTAAACTAAGCAAACCTAAATGAATAGTCACCCTATAACATTGATGTTTCAATTACATTTAATTATTTGATTATTAGTGAAGTTAAACATCTTCTCATTAATAGATTAGCCATCAGAAAATATTTCTGATAAGTATTTATATCTTTTGCACATTTTCCTTCTAATTTACTGTCTTTTTCTTATTAATGGACAAGATTTTCCTGTATATTTTAATTTCTAGTCTCTTTGTTTCCATCATCCTCTCCCAGTCTGTAATTCACCTCTTGAATTCTCTATTGTGCCCTTCACGAAAGAGAAATATGAGTAAACCTATTTCATTCTTGGGAGACTTAAGTAACAATACTTCTTCGCATTATGGTAATGTCTTTTTTTTCTATTGAAAGTGTGTTTAACCTTTCACATTGACGCCTTGGGTCCATTTAATGTTCACTGTTATACTGTTGTGAGGTACAGAAAAGCTTTATTTTTCTGTAGATGGAAGCAAGTTTCTCAATCCTCACCTCTTAAGACAAACCATTATTTCCTTACAAATTTATTAAGCCATACCAATCACATATAATTTCCCTATATTCATAGGACAATTTTATAGCCTATTTTGTTACATTGTTCTTGTTTTCTGGTCACATGCAAATATCATGACATTATTCTTATTATATCCTTGCAGTATGTCTTAATATCTGATAAAGAAAGTGGATGGGCACGGTGGCTCACGCCTGTAATGCCAGCACTTTGGGAGGCCGAGGCGGGTGGATCACGAGGTCAGGAGATCGAGACCATCCTGGCTAACATGGTGAAACCCCGTCTCTACTAAGAATACAAAAAAATTAGCTGGGCGTGGTGGTGGGCGCCTGTAGTCCCAGCTACTGGGGAGGCTGAGGCAGGACAATGGTGTAAACCCGGGAGGTGGAGGTTGCAGTGAGCTGAGATCGCGCCACTGCACTCCAGCCTAGGCGACTGAGCAAGACTCCGTCTCAAAAAAAAAAGAAAGTATCTTTTTTTGATTCAAAACTCTTATCTACCTGTGGGCATTAACTCTTACATGAAAAATTTTAAATCAAGTGGACAAATTCTACAAAACTTCTCCAGGAATGTTCATTTTAATTATATTGAATTTATAGGTCAGGTTGGGTGCCAGAGGTTTTCCGAGGTATGTTTGGAAGCACCATCACCATAGTGCTTGAATAATTAGCTAATCTCATCCTGTGTGATTCCCAATTTATTCTAGCACTGGTAGTAGTAGTAGTTAGGAGGTGACATTAGCTTCAGGGGAGTCTGGAAATTCTGTGACGGTGTTTCATTCTTCTGCAGCAAGGGAAGACAGGCTAATGGGAAGCTATCAGGTATGCTGAGAGATCCAATTCACAGCATCTGTCCCAAAGATAGTAACCACTAAAAAATTTAACTACCCCTACTCATACCTCATGTCTCCCACTTCAAACACAATCCTATTTCCTTCTTAAAAATTAAGAAAAAATGTCTTTTGTTTTGATTGTCTATGGAGAAAAAAATATTATTTTGGCTGGCACAAGCATTCTGGACTACCTAGCAGTCATAAATCCTATGAAAATTAGTAAATTGGGATTTATGTTTAGTTTGTCAAATGACTCCCTTCCAGGAAAAAGTATTATTACTAAACAAAAAAATGATAAAGTTTCAAGATCTTTAAAAATTGAAATATTGCTTATAAAGATAACTACTATAATAACTCCTGTCTATGTATACATACTTCTTTATAATGTGGCTTTGAACTCTCCTATCAATAGGCGGTGTCCATTTCTCCACCCTTTGAAACAAGGCTAGTCTTGTTACTTGCAGCTCCCCGTATTTCCCTCTTAGGGCCTGGAGAAAACTATGTGAAGAAGTTGGGGCCAGCCTCCTGAGGATGAGAGAGACCACTTAGAGAAAGCAGCACACTGTACAACCAGCACCAACCCCCGACATGTGAATCAGCCTGTCTGAGACCATACAGTAACAGTTGAGCTGTCAGTTGACCACAACCATTAACAGTGACCTCAGGTGAGACCAGCAAAATAATAGCCTCGCTAAATCCAGCCCAAATTTCTGATCCACAGAATTATAAGGAAATAAAATGGTGTCATTTTAAACCAGGGCTGGGAAACTGCAAACCACATGCCAAATCCAACTTGCAAACTATTTATGTATGGGACTTTGAGCTGAAAAGTTAAATGTTTTATATTTCTAAGAAATGATAATAATAATATTAATAACAATAATATTCAACAAGAACTTCATGTGGTCCACAGATAATTATATGGCTCTTTAAAGAAAAACTTGTTGACACCTATTTAATCCAACGTGTTTAGGTTGTTTGTATGAAGAAATACATAAAATGCATGCCAAAGCTTGAAACTTGCTTGTCAACCAATCAAGATCATGTATGGATACAAAAACATTTTATAAATTACAAGATTATATAAAATATAAGGCATGGGGAGTGATTTTGAGGGTAGAGAGGCAAAACAATGACTAGCTTTTGGAACATAATAGATTGCATAGCAAAAGTAGTCTTCAAAGTAATTTAGCATTGGTCTTATCAAAATATAAGAAAATAAATCGAGAAAAACATAAGCTGCATTTTAAGATACATTATATTGCTATACATGTTTTGCATTGATTTCCTGCTTTATAATATATAATCAAGCATTAATTAGGGTAGTAATTAATTATACAGGATGAGGATCCCTAATCTGAAAACCGAAAATTCGAAATGCTAAAAAGAATCCAAAACGTTTTGAGTGCTAACATTACATCAGAAGTGAAAAATTTCACACCTGATCTCATATGATGGGTTACAACAGAAATGCAGTTAAAAATTTGTTTCATGCACATAATTATTTAAATAGCATTATAAAATTACTTTCAGGCGATGTGTATAAGGTGTATATGAAACATAAATGTATTTCATGTTTAGACTTGGGTTCTGTCTTCAAGATAGCTTATTATGTAGATGTAAATATTACAAAATACAAACAAATCTAAGATCTGAACGATTTCTTCTGGTCCCAAGCATTTTTGAATAAGTGATACACAACCTGTATCAGCTACATGGACATACATGTTTGATCATATTAATTTTATTGAATTTATTCTATTCAATGTTGGCTGAGTATGCAAATTTTCTAGTAACAACATTTTTGTCTCAGGTAGATAGACAGACAGACAGATATAGATTGGTTGATTCAGTTACTCTTTGGTCACCATAATTTTCCTAAAATTAATACATTACTTCATATCTTATTGATTAATTTAATTGCTTGGATTCCCATATACATGCTTTCCACTTATTTCCTAGGTTGTTACTCTAAAGAAATTAATAATTATCTAAAGCAATACATCTTACTATTTCCAATAGTCTGAAAAAATATTTTTGCTATACATTTTTATTCTTTGCTATATATGTTCTATTAGGCATATTATTATATTTTGTGTTTTTATGTGAGGATAAGTTAAGTTGCAGATGGCAGACATATAATAACAGTAGTTTAAAAGGACATATAAGTTTATCTCATTAAAAAACTTGGCTGTTACGTGACTCTATTCCATAAAAATCAGGAATGTTAGTTATGATATCATGACATGATATGAAGCTCCTTCCACACTCTTTGCCATTCTTAGTTCATGCCCTTGTCTATCTGATATAAAATAGTTTACCACCAGTGATATTCCAGACAGCAGAATTAAACACATGGCTGCATGTAACTTTAAGGGAAGCTGGAAAAAGTAATCTTTGTTTGGCAAGACATGACTCTGGTTTTAAAATGTCATTATTATAAAATTAGTAGAGAATGAATCTTAAGAGGGATGACCGCATATCCCACTTTGCTGCACAAGTTAAGCACACCTGTTCTTCCAGAATCTCTTCAGATTTAAGACCCTTTGACTTTTAGAGAACCATAAATTATATGGCCACCCTAATAGTGGGAGAAATTAACAGTCTTCCACAGACTAGTGTTATATTAAAAAGTGCTATCATTAATACCAGTACCAAACTCTTGTATTTCTACCTTACTGTACATGGTAAGTAGCTTGAATTCCCTAAATGCTTTCTACATCACCTGTATTTATATATTTCTTATTTCTCAGATATGATATATGTGTGCTTTACTATTCATGGTAAGTAGTTTGAATTCCTTAAAACCTTTCTCCATCACCTATATTTATATGTTTTTTATTTCTCAGATATGTGGTCAGTTTCTTTCCTTTGCCTACTATTATAATACAAATTTGATCCTATTATACTTTATTTTTTCTACATATGTTACATAATTTATACCAATGGCAATAGTCTATCAATAAAAAATTAATTATAGGTATTTGCAAGACAAAAATCTCATTGTTATTTTGTTATTAATATCACTAAAATGTATTCACACATTTACCATGACAAGCAAGATTGCAGTATGCAATAATTTTGAAGTCAACATTACCATGAAAGAGATAGTGACCCAAGTCACTTTCTAGAATCTGTATTAAACACTACCTGTCCTTTAAAAAAGCCACAGGTCCTATTAGTGTAGACCAGAATTTTATCAGTGTGATTTTATTACAAAAGGGAAAAGGGACATTTCACGACTACTTTTGAATCTACATTACTGAGGTTAACAACACAATAATTCATATAATTTTGATTTTCCTTTTTGTCCATTTCAAAATATTTAGTCTTTAAAATGAGCTCAAATTTTCTATATAACTCTGTCATATAAACTCTAGCATGTACTGTGAATTTTATTGCAGTCTCTTGTAAACTGTGAGGTGATAGTTTTTGTTTGGTTAGTTTAAGATACAAGTGTTTGCCAGCGTAAGTATTCAGTGGGACAAAACATCTAATTAACTGTGCATAAATACATATTTTCTTATATGTTTTATAACTATGACTTACAGTATGTCAATTTTTTCAGTCTGTATTTTAGAAGACTCTTGCAAAAATCATCCTCCAAGGACCAACAATGATTGCCACTAATAGGTACTTCAGTGCACAGAGAGGACAATGTTTCATGTGTCTGTACATGTGTCTATATTGCACACCACAGACCAAGGCCATTAGCTCTAGCTACTACTAATTATAGTAATTATCTATAATTACTTGTTGTATGGAATGTTTATTAAAGAATAAAGGATCATAGATAAGAAAACATTTATATTATGAGAGTGTTTTGAATCCTGGTGATTTTCTTTTTCTTTTTTTTTTTTTTTTTTTTTTTAGCCACTGTTTGGTCATTTTCACTTTATCTGTGAAAGCTCATGTTTATAGCTAAAGATTTGGTTAGAGGATTAAAGTCTATGAAAAGATTTGGATCCAGTAGGTCACAGCTTACTAGAAACACAACAGAGACTTAAACCATGTGCTTCTGTCTTCTGGAGTTGGACTTTTACCATGAGGTTGCTTATCTGGATGAAATCTGAGGGCTTTTCAGTCTAACTTTCTGAGGGAGTCATTCAGGGAATGTTTTAGTGTCAAGCTATTAAATCACACCTCAAAAGGTTGGAAGTGGCCCAAATATGAGTCCATATAGGTGGGTCTGGAAAGGTGGGGTGAGTTGCTGTAACTGTCTCTGGACTCAAACTCAGCTGAGACCTGAGTGCCTTGTTGAGCGGAGCAGGAATCTCTTTCCATTATGATGATGGGGTTTCTAAAGCAATTATTGCTTTTTAAAAAAAAAAAAAAAAAAAAAAAAACTCCCTCTGCCATTTTCCAGTCACAGTGTTCTTGGAGCAAGATGCATCATCAATACTTTTCATATTAAACATTCTCTCTTATTGGATTTACCTGGATTCTAGGGGTATTTTTTTCACATTTCTCTGGAGACAATTAGGGCTGATAAAGATTTTATAAGGTCTTGCTCTCAAGCTCGTTTTCCTTAACTTTTCTTGTCCCAGTTTCCAGTTTCTTTGGTCTCCAGAAACCTTCTAATCTTCATCTTTAATGATAAATTTATCTTTTGTAGTTCTCCTCTCAAAGCTTTTGTGTCTAGTGGCTCATTTTGCTTAATTGCTGGAGTTTTCTCTGGCCTTTAAGCAATGGCAACAAAAGCCAAAATTGACAAATGGGATCTAATTAAACTAAAGAGCTTCTGCACAGCAAAAGAAACTACCATCAGAGTGAACAGGCAACCTATAAAATGGGAGAAAATTTTCGCAACCTACTCATCTGACAAAGGGCTAATATCCAGAATCTACAATGAACTCAAACAAATTTACAAGAAAAAACAAACAACCCCATCAAAAAGTGGGCAAAGGATATGAACAGACACTTCTCAAAAGAAGACATTTATGCAGCCAAAAGACACATGAAAAAAATGCTCATCATCACTGGCCATCAGAGAAATGCAAATCAAAACCACAATGAGATACCATCTCACACCAGTTAGAATGGCAATCATTAAAAAGTCAGGAAACAACAGGTGCTGGAGAGGATGTGGAGAAATAGGAACACTTTTACACTGTTGGTGGGACTGTAAACTAGTTCAACCATTGTGGAAGTCAGTGTGGCGATTCCTCAGGGATCTAGAACTAGAAATACCATTTGACCCAGCCATCCCATTACTGGGTATATACCCAAAGGACTATAAATCATGCTGCTATAAAGACACATGCACACGTATGTTTATTGCGGCACTATTCATAAGAGCAAAGACTTGGAACCAACCCAAATGTCCAACAATGATAGACTGGATTAAGAAAATGTGGCACATATACACCATGGAATACTATGCAGCCATAAAAAATGATGAGTTCATGTCCTTTGTAGGGACATGGATGAAATTGGAAATCATCATTCTCAGTAAACTATCGCAAGGACAAAAAACCAAACACCACATGTTCTCACTCATAGGTGGGAATTGAACAATGAGAACACATGGACACAGGAAGGGGAACATCACACTCTGGGGACTGTTGTGGGGTGGGGGTAGTGGGGAGGGATAGCATTAGGAGATATACCTAATGGTAAATGACGAGTTAATGGGTGCAGCACACCAGCACGGCACATGTATACATATGTAACTAACCTGCACATTGTGCACATGTACCCTAAAACTTAAAGTATAATAATAATAAAATTGTAAAGAAACATGAAAAAAAAATCTACCAAGTAAACATCAGAGTAACAGTCTGAAAATTCTATGGAATCTTTGAAAATACGCAGGACCAAATAAGAAAAGGTGATTTTCTTTTGAAGTATTCACTTACCTGCTTCATTTGGACTCTGTGTTCCTGTTATTATGTCAATTTTAGGTGCCCAGAAACCTTCTGTAATAATGTTGTTCTGGAAATTCCAGGATGTTTTGATCTTGTTGCATTTCTATGCAATACAGAGATCCAAACTTGAATTCCAACTCCTTCATGAAAACAGGAACATCTAAAAGGAATTTTGTATCCTTTGGAAAGTTTTGTGTAACTCCAGCATTAATCTGTATTCTGAGGAACCTATAGCCTGTACTGCAACTATTTCTGCTTTTGTGCCTAAAAAACATAAAACTGATAGACCCTAGCATAAAGAAAGTAAGAGGATTCATTTTTTATTATATAAATCTAGTCAGGTGCCTAACAATATAACTTGTATACATATTTGCAAGACTCAGTAATATTATGTTATGTAACTAATATAACATACTAGAAGTGCTATTTGTATCAGATTTAGGAATAGATATGTAACAGGAATAATCATATCTTGCTTACAAATATTTTGAAATTGAAATATTTCCAAAGGAGATTCAGATACAGAACAGAATGTTTTCCCATACTCTTTACTCAGTTTTCCCTGTTAATATTTACATAACGATGGTATCTTTAACAAAACTAATAAATTAACCTCAATATCCATAATGCTATTTAACTATAGACTTTATTTAAATTTTACTAGTTTTTCCACTAATGTCCTTTTTATATTCCATAGTCCAATCCAGGATACCAGATGGCATTTAGTAACAATGCTCTTTAGTCTCCTCAAAACTGTGACAGTTTTTCAGTCTTCTCTTTTCTTTCATGACCTTGACTCATTTGAAGAGTACTGGTAAGGTATTTTGTACATCATTCCTTCATTTGACTTTGTCAGGTGTTTCCTCTTGATTAGACTTGAGTTATGGATTTTACAAAAAATACCAGAAAGCTAAAGTGGCTTTCTCACCACATATCAAGGGGTATATGAATGATGTCAACAGGACTTATTACTAGTGATATTAACCTTCATCATTTGGTTAAGCGGTGCCTGACAGGTTTCTCCAGCACACATGGAAGGGAATTAAGTATCATCTCCTTGTGAGAGGGATATCAAATAATTTGTGGACATATGTTAAAAATCACCTAAGTAAGTAATACATATTTTCAAGGAGATATTTTGAACACTTGCAGATATGCTATTTCTCTTTAAAGTGTCACACACTTGTATTGCTATGGTAAATTTCTATTTCTCTCTTTCTGTCTACATTTACTATTTGAATATCGTTCTTTGGTAAGAAAGTTTTGTCATTTCTCCGACATGATCTATCTATTGTATCATTTATCTATGTTAGTATGTATTTTCATACATTTATTTTATTCTTTGTGTTACAATTTAACACTGTCAGTCGATCATTGGCATATGTAAACAATGTTTTATCATTATTTTCTCAGTGACGGTAAATGTAGATCTATGATCCAAAGTAGAACACAGTAGAAAATGCTGTATGAAAAGATGTGAGTTTTGAAAGTCTCCCTATATGTATTCACATGTTCTTCAATCCAGGGAATAGTTGAAAGCTTATTTGACAAATGTAATTTATTTCAGATTTAGAGCTTTATCCCAATCCCTCCCTTCCAAATTTTAGTAATATTTTTATGTTTATGAATCACATTTAGTGTAACTTTTTTTTTACAGTGCTAAAGGGGTTATTGTTTCATGAAATTTTACTATTTAACACGTTTATGTATAATTTTTATGTGCTATTGGATATAAACAATCAATAAAGCAGATACTGTGCCACCTTCAGGAAGTTTACAGCCCAGTAATGTAAGTAGACATTCAACTGGTAATGACCTGGGTGGTAAATGAAAAAAATAAAATAAAAAAAAGTAAAAAGTAACGTCCTAAGATGATGTAACTAATAAGTTTCAGTATAGCAGTCCCTGAGGAAAGGATATTAAGGTGAGAAGAGTTTAGCCAGACAATGGGGTGGTGGGTGGGGCCTGTTCGAAGCATGGAAGCACAAGTGTAGGAACAGTTTTTGCGTAAAGCACTTTGCAAAATAAGCTGATCTGTATACACAGTTTCATCTGGTAGTTATACTCTCTTGCAGTTATATGGTAGTTGTGATAAACTACTTTCCTTCAAACTTTTTTTTTTCCTAAGGGAAAATATTTTAAACATAAAATTTTCAGTAAATATATCATATTGAAGTGGAAAGATAGCTATAGAATAAACTTATTCCAATTTTATATTAAATATATACATTTCTAATATTTGAGTATACATGCACATATCATTTTAAATGTTTTGTGTGTTATAATTTTTAATTTGTAAAATGTTATTCATGCACCATATGTAACCTAAAGCCTATTTCTCTATTTTGAAAAAGCAGTCATTGTTCAAATAACTTCTTTAATACTGTAAAATTTCCTCAATGAATGCTCTTTGAAGCATGTCTATAAGCCTAGGAAGAAACACATAGCATGTAAATTTAAAAATGAAATGTTTTAAAATTCTTGATATCGTATGTGGCTTTGACCTAAACATTATTGACAGATATTTATGATGTGGATTTGCTTCTTTTAATAAAGTGCTTATTTAGAAAATACCTTAAATAATTGTCTTTATAAACAAAACAGTCATATGTGGTAAAGCAACAGTGACATCCAGTGACTACTCAGATTAATTCAAGGAATATTATTTAGATTTGCCAAAAGCAAAGGAAAATGCATTATTAAATAATTAACTGCATACTTTTTTCTGTTTATTTTAAATTTTCTAAGACTGTATCCTTAAAACATCACTTGCTGAAAATAAAAACCAGTTAATCATTAAGAGAATGAAAATAATAATCTTCCAAGAAGCAAAGAATTATAGAGGAGACACAGCTTATGGCAGCCTTAGCTCCAAAATATAACTATCACTTCTCACAATGACTAGTCCTATGGCCTCAGTCTAACTATAACTAAGACTGGGAAATATGCGAGCTACACTTGGTGAATATTTGATGGTGACTAATGATGTCTGTGACAACTGTCATTTATCTAGTTTGATATTTGTCTTTTAATTTACAGGACATGTTTATAGGCAGTAATAACTGTATAATTTATGATGATATACATATTTAGCTGTTATTTATTTGTCTTAAGCTATTTTGTGGTATCCTTTGCCATACAATAACAAGTATGCATAAATATATACCCATCTTTTACTTTATAGATTCTGAATTACCTTCTTTGTTCAGAAAGATCTATAGCACTTCAAATTTTTACTATTATTCTTGCAATATATTTACTACTTTCCTTTTCATTTAGTTACTTACTTGATTGACAATTATTCTTAAGTGAGTAAATAAAGTAAAATTCCTACTTTTCTTCTAGCAGATGATTAAATAATCTCATCAATAACATTTATTACATAAACAATCCAGTTCCCACTGAATTAAAATATATTCTTCAAAACCCTATATTAAGTTTCTTTGTAGACTTTATATTTCTTCCAAAAGTGTTTTTTAAGCAGTTACTATGTATCTTAATTAGGCAATACTCTCTTTTGCATACAATGTTTTCATATGCAAAATAAGAGAGTAAAACTCTTTGAAACTCTCCAGTTACTGTACTTTTTCATCCATGAGGCATTCCAGACTGCTCTCAGACAGTGAGTACAGTGTGGGTCTAGAACCCTAGAATTAAGATACTTGCTTAGTACAAGGTTCTTTGAACAGGCAACGTTTCCTCAGACATTTCCCCAGCAGTCAGTGGCTAATGTCAGAAATATGCTGTGGTCTGAAGCTCTGGCTCTTCAATTTTCCCTACTTTTTCTCCTTGCATAGGTGTTAGACCTGCCTCATGGTCTGAATGCTTTTCTTGCCTCCCCCTGCTCTCTTTAACTTATCCTTCATTGGTGATTCCTCAGTTAATCTTTTGAATGTCTACTCCTTTGAGTTTTGCTTCTTTGATGACCAAATTGATTTATTGGTATGGTGATAGCTAATTTTATGTGTCTGTTTAACTAGGTTAAAGAACCTCCAAATAGTTGATAAAACATTATTTCTTGGTGTGCCTGAGAGGGTGTTTCTGGAAGAGATTAGCATTGGAATCGGTAGACTGAATAACAAAGTTCCACCTGCACCAATGTGGGTGGGCCTTATACAATCTGATGAGGGCCCAAATAGTATAAAAAGTGGCAGTAAGGGCAAATTCTCTGTTTTCTTGAGCTGGGGTATCCATCTTCTTCTGACTTCAGATATTAGAGTTCCTGATTCTTGGGCTTTCAAACTCTGAGATTTATACCAGCTGCCCCCACTACCTCTGGTTCTCAGGCCTTTGGCCTTGGACTGGGAATTATACTGTGAGCTCCCAGTTCTCAGGCCTTCAGACCCAGATTGAATTACAACACTGACTTTTCTGATTCTCCAGTTTGTAGGTAGCATATTGTGGACTTCTTGGCCTATATAGTCATATGAGCCAATTCACATAATAAATTTTCTTTTATATACATAAGTATACTTAGTTATACTTGGTATGTGTGTATATAAAATAGATATACTTAGTTTTTTATATATGTATATATATACGTATATATATGTATATATACGTATATATATACTTAGTTGCTCTTTATTAGGCACTGGCAATTCTAAACAATGTCAGTGATAAATACTGATATATACACGTATATTCTATTGGCTCTGTTTCTCTGGATAACCTTAATACAGATTTCAAGTTACATATAGGGATTGACTTATGTCTTTAACTAATATTTTACCTGATTGTGTAGACATAAGTGCTATAGTTTATGCGCCATTGTTACTATACCTAATATCTATCAAATGTCTTCATTAATAACCTGAAGATGTTAAAAGGAGCATATGGATTCAGACTCCAAGGATCTCCTCCCTTGGAAAGTGGGTAACCTTGGTTCACTGATTCAGAAACAATAAATAAAACAGGAAATCTAGTAACAACATGAAAAACAAACTGAGCAAATCACAGATGGAAAATGTTTAGTCGTGCACAAGGGCAGTTGAAAACATTCTGGGGAGAACAAATAAAAAAGTTTCATTCAGTATGTGTCACAGGAATTTCACAAATAAGCAAGTTATTTAAGTGTATAACCCAAGCTATTGCATGTAGGAAGTGTTAAAAAATCATTCTGTGTAATACATGCTCTATGTGCCTTTATGAGATGTAAAAAAAACAAATAAAAAAGAAGATATTCAGTTAAAAGTTCCAGTAAACAGACTGATTAAATAGAATCTAAAATACTAAATAATTAGAACAGTGATGAAAGATTAAGCATTCCAGATTTACTGTCTCTATAGAAGAGCCTATATAAAGATAATTGGATAATTATTTGAAGAACATGAAAGCTTTCTCCAAATAGAATGGTAACTGATTTCCCTCCATAAATCATAAGATTACTGTCCTATGTAAGCTGTGCTTACCTAGCAAAACTGGTAAACACAAAAACACGTGGTGAACAAAACTACAGATTCCCACTTGCCCACAGCCATTTTGAAAAGGATAGTGTCTGAAGTCCAGCTGAGGTGGTCTCAGATGGAGATGAGGAAGTTATTGGGAACTGGAGCAAAAGTCACTCTTGCTATGCTTTAGCAAAGAGAGTGGCAGCATTTTGTCCCTGCCTTAGAGATCTGGGGAACTTTGAACTTGAGAGAGATAATCTGAAATTAAAACGTATGTTTAAAAGAGAAGCAGAGCATAAGTTTTGAAAATTTGCAACCAGATGATACAATATAAAAGAAAAACCCATCTTCAGGGGAAAAAATTCAAACCTGCTGCAGAAATTTGCACAAGTAACGAGGAGCCAAATGTTAATCATCAAGGCAAAGAGGAAATGTCTCCAGGGCAAGTCAGAGGTCTTCACAGCAGCCCCTCCTATAATAGGCACCAAGGCTTAGGAGGTAAAAATGGTTTCATAGGTGAGGCCCAGGGCCTTGCTGCTTTGAGCAGTCTCAGGACTTGGTGCCTTGCATCCCAACTGTGGCTAAAAGAGGCCAACATATAGCTCAGGCCATGTTTCAGATGGTGAAATCCCCAAGTCTTGGCATTTTCCATGTGGTGTTGGCCCTGCAGGTGCACAGAAGACAATAATTAAGGTTTGGGAACCTCCAGCTACATTTCAATAGATGTAGGGAAATGCATGGATGTTCAGGCTGAAGTTTGCTGCATGCGTGGAGCCCTCATGGAAAACCTCTGCTAGGGTAGTGCAAAAGGCAAATGTAGGGTTGGAGTCACCCACGCAGAGTCTCTGTGTTACACTTACTCCCAGTAACAGAGAGTCTCCACTGAGGCACTGCCTAATGGAGCTGTGAGAAGAGGGCCCCTGTCCTCCAGACTCCAGAACAGTAGATCCACCAATAGCTTGCCCTGTGAGCTTGCAAAAGCCACAGACACTCAAAGCAAGCCTGTGAAAGCAACTGGGAGGAGGGCTGTATCCTGAAAAGCCACAAGGGTGAGGCTGCTCAAAGCCGTGGGAATCCGTCTCTTTTATCAGTGTGATCTGGATGTGAGACATGGAGTCAAAGGAGATCATTTGGAAACTTTAAGGTTTAATGACTACCCTGCTGGGTTTTGGATTTGCATGGGGCCTGTAGCCCCTTTGTTTTGGCCAATTTCTCCCCTTTAGAATGGGTGTATTTACCCAATGCCTGTACCCCCATTATATTTAGGAAGTAACTAACTTGCTTTGATTTTACAGGCTCATAGCCAGAAAGGACTTGCCTTGTCTCAAATGAGACTTTGGACCTGGGCTTTTGGGTTAATACTGAAATGAGTTAAGACTTTTGGGGACTGTTGGGAAGGCATCATTGGTTTTGACATGTGAGGACATAAGATTTGGGAGGGGCTGGGGCAGACTGATATGGTTTAGCTGTGTCCCCACCCAAATCTCATCTTGAGTTGTAGCTCCCATAATCCCCATGTATCAAGGGAGGGACCCAGTGTGAGGTAATTGAATCATGGGGGTGGGTTTTTCCCATGCTGTTCTCCTGATAGTGAATAACTCTCAGGAAATCTGATGGCTTTATAAAGGGCAGTTCCCCTGCACTCACTCTCTTGCCTGCCAACATGTAAGGCATGCCTTTGCTCCTCCTTTGCCTTTCATCATGACTGTAAGGTCTCCCCAGCCATGTGGAATTGTGAGTCCATTAAACCTCTTTTTCTGTATAAATTACCCAGCCTAGGGTATTTCTTCATAGCGGTATGAAAAGGTACTAATACAAAAATCAACTTAGTTGGCATTTCTTTATTAGGCATCAGCAATTCTAAACTATGTCAGTGATAATACTCCTAAAAAAAATGTTGGTGTAGTTGCAAACAATTTCTACACTTATTGTTGATATTTAATAATATGTGTGCCAGGGTGGCAGATTGTATTTTCCAAAAACAGATGTAATAATATGCTTTTCCAGAATTTTGTCACTCTCCTATCAAGAAGTGTAAACTTCTTCCTCTCTACTTTTC
The DNA here is from genome assembly GCF_000001405.40 of Homo sapiens. Taxonomy (NCBI): domain Eukaryota; kingdom Metazoa; phylum Chordata; class Mammalia; order Primates; family Hominidae; genus Homo; species Homo sapiens. The sequence goes on along the minus strand of NC_000002.12, from coordinate 187,590,156 downwards.
CTCGGATAGACTTTTGTTAACTGTCTCAATAAACACAATGCAGCAGAAGAGATGCTCAATATGACTTTTGAGGTTAAGTCATAGAAACTCCTTCTTGAAAGGGAATGTTTGCTTTTGACCCCCAGCCACCCTTACTGCGAGGAAGCCAAGCAGTCATTTTCAGAGGACACATGTAGATGTTCCTGATGGCACTTGACCAAGATAGACTTAAAACACTCATGTTCCCCTCATTTTGACAAAGCATTATACAGTTTTCTTACTAACTGTGAGCCCCTAATCTTCTTGTTCTTAGAGCATTAACTTTAGAAAACTTGCAATTGTAAATTACTTATTTGCCCCTTTGAAATATCCATCGGTTCCCAGCCTCTTGACAGTTTTGCAGTCCTGAGAAGTCTTTCCCAAGGACCTGAGAGCTAAACCATTGAAATGTAATCATCAACAAAAAATTAGCCCATCTCCCAGTCTCTATGAGAGATGGGGTAGTATCTTTCTTGATGATTACTTAGGTAGGAGCCTAACTTTGATAAATACCAATTAGCAAACACAGATGGCTAATCACATTGACCAACCTCCGCCCTAACATTATCCACCACTGTTTCCTTAGCTAGCCCCAGTGCTTAAGACTCTCCTGACTTTTGTTTTCAGTGGAGTTGAATTCAGTCTCTCTCCGTATTGTAATAGGCTTGATCCCTACTACAATAGTCTTGAATAAAGTCTTCTTCACCTGTTTAACTCAACCCAGTGCTATTTCTCTTTGATTCATTCTCAGCTTAAGTTCCAGATGAGAGCAAGAATCAACTGGTAGATTGCTGAGTGAATGACTTCTCAGATGCCAGCACCTAGTTTCCCTAGTTTCCCCAGTTGATTTCACATGGAACAGACACAGACTGTTTTCACTGAGCCTACTGGTATTGCAGGTTTGCAAACGAAATAAAAGATAGTCATTGTTTTAAACCACTCGCTAATAGCGGTTTGTTATGTTATCAACAAATAGGAATAGTAAGCTTCAAATAGCTCAACTTTGCTAGGTACCCTTTAGTAAACTTCCATGTTTTCTACATGGAAGTTAATTCTGAGAACTCCTAATCATACAGAACACCCAATTCACAACAATCTTGAATCATTTTAGTTCCCCTTCTGTGCCATTTGGTCTCCGACCCCTGGAGAACCGCCGATTCCTGCATTTAAAGAGTAAACTCAAAATAAATATGAAAGAAAAGTTTCTAAGAGGGGGAAACAAAATTTACATTATTTGAATTTTGTTATTCTATTTGCTCACTTGGAGTTTGTGTGCATGCATGCATTTAAATTTTTAAACATTGAAACAGAGTCTGAACTGGGAGGAACAATATTTTAGGTAAGTGCAAATTTTATCCCATGTATGAAAAATATTACCTAATTTAAAAATACATAGTTAAAACTGAAATGCATTCTTTTTTATAACTGTTAATTGATTACTGGAAAACTAAATAACAGATAAATAAAATGGCAGTTATTTAATATAACTTAAATTGTTTTGCAGAAATTCCAGTTGTATTAAAATTCACTTATTAATTACTGAATATTTGTTATTTTGTTTGGCATATCTAATGCCTCAAGTATTATGTACAATTTAACTTCGTGGTCATTATTGAAAATAATTTTGTCATATATGGGAGAGAATTGTTAAGTAAATAATTCATTCTTGGTATCATATGCTAGGTAGACCAGTCGAATCAGTATTTTCGATGATAAACTCTGAGATGACTAGAACTATGCCTATTTTGTATTATGCTTGGAACATGGTAAATGCTTGATAGATATTTGTAAATTGATGCATCAAATTTTACATACAGAGTGACATGATTGGAATTTTGTTTTTAAAGCATCATATTGACATCAATTTGAAAGCTAGATTAGAAGCCAAGATTGCAGCTAGGGAGACCACTATAGTGACTGCTGAATAACAAATGAAGAACCAAGGTGGTAGCTGTGAGAATAGAAGAGATGGAAAAGATTGAAAAACTATTCATGAGCTATAACCCACAGGACCTACGGGAAATAAGAAATTAAGAAAAACTACTAGGATATCAACAAAAATCATAGATTTAGACAATCAGGGTTGTAGTTCAGCTTTATATGTCTTTGTAATATCCAAGGGGTATATGCCATAGGTAATTATATAATAGTATCTATGTTTGGAAGTATTAGAAAAACAATATTTGTAATTCAATACAGGTATGATTATTTGATACCAACAGCTAAGAGAAATAAATTAGATGTAGTCTTCAGATTAGCTGAAAGAAGTATATGAACACTTGGGAAAAATCCCAACTGATAGATGGGCAGAGAAAGAAGAACTTGAAATAAGACTAAGGCAGAGACAGGCAATCAGGTGAAATTTTTTAGAAAGAAACAGTGACTAATCTCAAGTTATGTGAAGAGGTCAAATTCTGGAGGGCAAGATAGTCATTGAAAACTGTCCATTTGACTTAATAAATATGAAAACCTTGGAAAGAGGAACTTCCAAGAGTAGTGTGAGTGGAAAATGTTCAATATTTATCCCAGCTTTCTTTTAGTATTTCTTTCTATGTTGCAGAGACAGGAAAGCTTAAAACAAATTCCAGATTATCTCATAGCTAGAATTCCAAATGTGTTTCAGGTTCCATAATCAAATGAGCTCACACGAGACTTGGAATTACAACTGAGATTATTGATTGACAAGAGAAGCACAGTGCATGGTTCTCTAATTGGTGGTCAGTACTATAAAAGAGGCAGCATGGTTCTGAACCCAGCAGGTGTAATAGTAGCATGTGTGTGTGTGTGTGTGTGTGTGTGTGTGAGTGTGTTTGGAGACAACAGCTATGAAGACAACTTATCAATGAACACATAAGTTCCTTATTCTGGGAAGAGCTGCTGATAAGCTGGCAGCACAGTTCTGCTATTAGATATTTATATGTCTCTTTCTTAAGCCCTCTCAATAATTTATAATCCATTTAGAACACTGTAATAAATACATTTACCCTTAAACTACTTACAGTATATTCTGTTTGCGTCAACTCAACCATGAACCATACAACTGAGACAAAAAGGTATGGATAGAGAAAAGATTGCTGGTGAGGAATAGGAAGTTTGGTAGCACATTATCTATCTAGCTGTCTCCTATTTCTCCCAAAACAAAATAAAATCCTCTATTGAGAGTAAAAACAAATGTGTTGGAGTAAGGACGTGAAAAATATTATAAATATTTTAACAGTGGGCTAGTATTCAAAAACTTTTGCCTGGTGGTTGTAGCCTCTTGTTTCGAAGAGAAAATTTAAATTCCTGAGTTAATGGAATGTAATTAAAATTTTTGTAATGGAAGCAATAAATTAATGTTGGTAGAATAAATTAATACTAAACTTTTATGCTACAAATGCCTCGAAGTGCTGACTAGAAATATAACTTTTCTGATAAAATGTATTGCTATGTTTATAGGAAAAAATGTAAAATCCTCAGGGTCAGGGGAAGAAAACAAAATGAGGGATAAAATGGAAATAGTGAGCTGGTCTTGCGGCTATGTCTGGCTATTAAGTTTGGTTTCACATACTCATGTGGACAGGAAATACGTTTTGAGTCTATATGACACAGGAAGTTAGAACTGACGCAACTGCAAAATACTGAGACTCTACAAAAAGGTTACACAATTACTGAAAAGGAAGTCTAGGGAAATCTCTATTCACCTACAGAAGTAGATCAGATGACTATTTGCTGTGGTTAGAGCCAAAAAACAAGTTTCCTTTGATAATTCACAGCAATGAGTATGTTTCTTAGGTGAGTTCATGGTCAAATTTGCACAATTCCAATGGTTTAGAAATGCCAGTAGGAGTGGAAAATAAGCTTAGAAGCTGGTTTCATTAAAAAACCTAAAAACAGGTAAGACCACAACTTTATAAAATTTTGTGCAGACTTTGCATTGCACAATGGTATTACTTTCAAGAGAAGTGAGTCATAACTTTGACATTATAGTTGTACTTTTTCTATTACATTTTTTTTCAGTTTTGGCAGTAAGTTGTTTTGTTTTAGTACATTATGACAATTATATGAAATGCATTGTCTGTAGAAATGATAGCAAAATGTTCCCGTGTGGGCTAATAGCAGTCATTTGGGATATCTAATATATAAAAATGCATAATCTCTGAAAAGATACATAATCCAAGACAGAATTTTCAGAAATAATTTCACTGTGAAGCTGAGTACATTTCCAAATTATTAGCATCATAAGTAATTATTGGCAGACATAGCCAATAGTCTTAAGAACTTCAAAAAATAGAAAAACCATATTTAGAAAAGAGTAGAAAAATAATGTATATAGAGTTATTAAAGACAAAACAAGAAACTAAAATCATTAAGCCCAAAGCACCAAATTCATAGAAAAGTCAGTTTTGAAAAGGAATTAAGTAGGACTTCTAAAATTAAAATATAGGTATTATAATTATAAATGTATTGATCCACTCAAATTTCAGATAAGGCACAGAAAGAAATAATTAATTGAATATGAGACCTAGGAAAATAACCTAGAATGCAGCACAGGGAGACAAACGACCTTTACTTCCCCATTTTTTTGAAAGATATAAAAGCCAACAGAAGAGAACTTTCATATACACCAGCTACACTATCTGTCCATGTTTTGCAACTGTACCCATATACTTGCTAGGATTGGCTGTAAGATACTGGAACCCAGTATAAAATGAAAAAGTAGGCTCCTTGTTAAAGTTTCAAGATGGCGACAACAGATAGTTGAGCTAAGCACAGGTCTCCTCTGAGCACAGCATCTGGTGTGACTGCAGTACATGTCCATCAAGATTATTGTTAGCGCAGCCATTACCTCTATTCTTTTTTTTTTTAGACGGAGTCTCGTTCTCTCGCCAGGCTGGAGTGCAGAGGCACGATCTTGGCTCACTGCAACCTCAGACACCCTGGTTCAAGTGATTCTCCTTCCTCAGCCTCCTGAGTAGCTGGGATTACAGGCACGCGCCACCACGCCCAGCTAATTTTTGTATTTTTAGTAGAGACGGGGTTTCACCATATTGGCCAGGATGGTCTCCATCTCCTGATCTCATGATCCGCCTGCCTTGGCTGACTTCTGTCTTTATAGATAAGCTACCTTTCTCCCAGCTCTGGTGAATGCATCTATCTGGTCACTGAATTCAAGCTCTTCTTGTCTATCACCAATATTCTTTCAAAATTAATTTATTCATCCAATGAACTACTAGTTAATTTTTTTTTCCAAAGAAAATGGTAAGCCAATGTTAGACCGCACATGGAAGATGTAAAAGGTACAAAAATAGCCAAAAGAACTTTAAAATGCTTAAAACAGAAGACAAAGACGAAGATGTCAAAGATAAAGACTTAAAAGTAAGATTTCAGGAGAAAATGTAGAATTACATTATCACATTATGGTAGGTAGAATTTTTAAAATAAGACGTAAAATGCATAAATCATAAAGAGGATTGATACAGTTATTTACCTCAATATTAATCGCCACAAGACAAGTAAACTACTCTAAACCAACTAAAATGTCAAGACATATGTTTGGAGAAGTTATTAAGTCATAAAACCAATAAAGGGTTTTGTCCAGAATAAAAAATAATTATTCTTGAAACAAGAATAAGACAGACCAGAAAACCAAATTTTATAAATGGTCAAAGAATATGAACAGGAACTTCTCAGAAGAGGAAACCAATAACTATCAACACATCTTCACAAGAAATCTGAGAATTGAAAATCAAATAAAAAATGAGACATCATTTCTTAAATATTACTTTGGCAGGAATTAAAAATTCTCACCAGAGTTTTTAGCAAGTACGTGAAGAAATAAATACTCTTCCAGAGTGCTGTGATGAGAACACTTTGTAGAGCCATTTAGCAACATGTTTTATAATTGAAAAACTGCTTATTCTACAACCTAGCAATTCCTATTGAAAAGAACACGGTACAACAAAAATAAAACAAGTGGTAAATACATAGATATATTTTTTTAAGTAAGTTACAAAAGAATAAGTAGAATGTAATACTATTCGTGTATCTTTTAAAACAGGAAAAAGGTATAAATTATTTCTGTAAATAGGTAGCAAATGTACATAGGGAGAATTCATCCCAGCTTCTGGTTATTGGCTACTACTAAAAAGGGAGAAAGACTATAGAATATACTGGAGTTCTGGAGTTAAGATTTTCAGACAGAAAAAAATCAATTTGGGCTCATATTGACTATGAGTGGTAACTGCAATCCACAAAGCATGAACAGAACAAGTATCAGGAGAAACATCTGAAGATGAAAAACAGCTTGTGCTGTAAACCCCATGCACTATAAAGGAATCATAATACTCACTGAAGATTGTTTCCATACTTTGGGGCACACAGGTAATTGAGCCCTAAACGTCATCTTAAAGTAAATGCATTACTCAGTTGTCATCCTTATTTGTGAAAGGAAAGGTACAGACACTCCCTAAGTTTAAGATAAATATGAAAAATCTGGATTAAGCTTGTGATTTAAGGATTTTATTACTTATTTGTGGTGGGAGGAAGACCGACTACTGTCTATATGCTTTTATTGTTTAGTGTGACTTTGGGTTATCTTGAATGTCACCTGGATTCTGAATGATTTTTACATTGAAAGAAAGAAAAAGGACTGTTGCCAAGGCAGTTGAAATGATTTTCTTCCCAGTCCAGGTGGGCTTTGGCAGGCATCCCACTTTCTAAGCTCTCTAATGAATCACAAATATATGGATCTGACACAATACTAATAGAACTAGGAAAAAAATTATGCCGTGAAAACGCTCTTTTCTGAATTGATTTTGCCGTTAATGGAACTGAATTTGCATGTACAGTACTTCTAATTAACCTTGCTTTTCTGTGCCTGTAAAGTGGACAGCAGCTGTTTATCACTTTGTTTCCATGGGGACATAGAGGATATGATTTTGTGATTGTATATTACCTGTTATGAAATCAATTAAGCATATTCTGCTTCTGTAATATTTCTCCAAAGTAAAACAAAAACTCAATTTAAATTTCAATTTTCCTTGCTTCTTTCCACTTTCAACTCTACTCATTAAATATATAACATATTATTGGCCACACTGAAATTTTTATTCTTCTGTCATTTGCTCGTTAAACATTTCCCCTAAGGCCAAACTTTTTCTCCAGGCTTCTGGTAAATCTATCTGTGGTTATGAATATATTCTTCTAAAACCACATTAATTTCAGCAAAAATCTATCATGCCAATAAAGAAAACTTGAGAAAGTTATGTGTGATACAAAGTGGACAAAAGCTATGCTTTATGTCTGAATGTGTCTCCTTTCTCCTTTGGTAAAAAATGTACTAAAATGTTAAGTTCCAAGCAAACAGAATTTTTCCTTTTTTGTTTGTTTGTTTACTGCTGTAGTCCCAGTAGTGGCACATAATAGTTGGCCGATAATAGTTGGTGAATGGATGATTCAATAAATGCACTCTTTGTATTATTGTGAGGTGAGAGGCAGAAGGCATTATGGTAACTATATTCTAAATATTAAAAGTTATTAATCAAGCTAGTATGTTGTTACATAAAATATTTTCCATCCCATTTAGACAAATATATTTCATAAAGACAATTGAAAGATATGTTATAAAGCTGTATTTTTTATGTTAGGAAAATTGACAAAATATTTAGACACATCAAATACATTTTTTCTGCATATTTAGGTATTTAGTTAATTGGTTATGATGCTTGGATTAATAATAAATGAAAATACATAGATAATTCATAAGTATATGTTTATTCCATATTGATCTTCCTTGCCTTCATTTCAGCAAAACCAGTAATTATATTGCAAGCATGATCATTGCATCATTTTGTTGTACTGTATTTAAGCGCATGCAATTTGAAATATTTTTTCAAAAATGTAAATTCAATTAAATTTAAACATTTTTAAACATCATCTTTTCAATAAGTTTTTTCTTCTAAAGAATTCAAAATTACTTATTAAAATGCAAATACAAATTGCAAATTTATTATGAATATGAAAATTTAAAATAGCCAAATGAAACCGAAACTTTAATATTATTTAAAAATGACTATGTCTTAGTAAATGTTTTAAGAAAAACAAAACCATCATCAGTTCTAATATTCACCTAGCTGCCAATAGAAAGAACCATGATTATACTTTCTGTGTTGTTTATAGACTTATATATTAACAAATTTGAGTTAAATGAATTGTCGTATATAGGAAAAGGTTCTTTCCCCTCCTTGTACAACTGGTACAAATACCTCATTTATTTGTATGTTCCTTTAGAAAGGAATTAGAATCAAACTAGGACACTCAGCACTTTTGGGAAAATAATGCTTAACATTCTATGATCCATTCCATTATTCCTGTTACTTGGGACAAAGGATTTGACGGGGTAATTACTTATTTTTTATCTTAGCTGAGCACTTTTGCCACTCAAATCCTTCTTGTACACAGAAGCAGGAAAATGGGGTAGCTTTCAATGAAAAAGCCTGAAACACCTTAATCCAGTGATCGAAGTGAACATTGATCGAGACAAACCAAAATGAAGTGCCCCCTGGTGGAAGGAAATGAGAACAAAACAACCTCACTTTTGTAATAATCCTAGAAGATAACGCATAACCTGAATTTAATTATGTGGAAATAACAAGTTACTCCAAATTAAGGGCATTCTAAACATGCCTGTAATCCTCAAAAGTGTCAATAGTAGGCAGTCATATTAAAAACTAAGCTATATCTCTATGTGGTTATATGGAATAAACCCTAAGACATATATTTTAAGTTTTAAAAAAGTTAGAGACCAGTATTTTAGTTTTGAAAAAAATTCTAAGCATTTAGAATTCATTTCAGAACAACAAACAGTTAGTGATTGTCACCTCTGGGATCAAGTAGAGAGTGAGAAAAATATATTTATTTTCCACTTCCCACTTTTCTGTACTGCATAATTTATTTTAACCTGAATATAAATTGTATTTAAATTTTTCTTGAATAAAATGTATTTTGAATTGTTTTGAGTACTACAACCTTTGTTTTTGAGTCTCAGAAAATAGGAAAATATTTTCAGGCCAAAAATAACACTGTTGTTAATTTAGTCAACACGAGACTAATCATAGCTTATGACACTTGGAGTCTCAGTCGTCCCTGTAATTAACTAGCTATATAGGTGTTTGGGCAAGCACTTGAATTTTTTGAGGTTTAATTACTAATCTTCATAAATGAGTTTTCTTGTAGTTTTAACTTTCTTTTTAGAACATGAATTACAATTTATATATCATGTCGTCAACAGAGGGCAGTAATTAACCACAAGTAATCCCTGTTCTCTGAGCAAGCATGAATCATTTTAATAGAATTTGAAGAAACATAGTATTCGAAGGACCACCATTTTCTTCTCTATTCCTACAAATTTTGATCACATTCCAGTTTTCTCCTCTCCAAACAAAGACTTCAACCAACCAAACACTTCTTATTTCAAACAACATCAGTCCTTTGGGTTAGAAATAAAAACATAATAAAAGAAGAAAGATTATAAAAATAATTTCATGATGACAGAAGGGGCCTTGCCAATGCGAATCAAAATGTCACTTACTCTCTGCCTTCTAATCACTTGCATAGTGGGTGTCGATGCATTAGTGCCCACTGGAACGATTACAGACAAAGGAGTAACAGATTTGAGTTTAAACTATGCTTGGCTCCTTACTGCCAGTAAGTACTAAAACTCTGGCCAATTTAATTGAGCTTTCTAATAATTCTCAAATTTCTTTAGATTTAAAATAGTGACAATAGCTACCTTAGAGGATTGTTTAAAGATTAAAATAGTTATTTGAAAAGATACAACAGTACTAGGTATTAAATAATGTTTATTATTACTATACTACTATTATCATTATACAGATTTGTGTTAGGACAATAGTATCTAATAATAGAAAGAATATTGCATTTTATCCTTAAGCTTATGTGTATATATACATATATGCAAAATATATACGTAAGTTTATGTAACATATGTAATATATGTACATATGTTTACCTAATATAAAATAAGCAAAGAACATAAATAACGATTCACAAAAGAAAAAGAAAAATATCCAATAAGAAAATTAATATTCAACTTCGCTGTTACTCAATGGACTGCAAATTTAAAATTTTGCCAGGTTTTGCCTATAAAACTGAGAAAAAAAATTTAAGTGTCATTAAAGGAGTTTACTATCATAAACTGTAAAGTGCAAGTGACTAGAAATTGACATAAAAATATAATTATTCACCATGGGATTCAAATTTTAAATTTTTTTTTAAAAAATCTGAATATGAGATGAATAAAATTTTTTCTTTACATTTTAGATGTTGAATAACCAGTGAAAACCTCCCCAAGATACACCAACCTGACTCTCTATAAATTAAAAGGCATAAATAAACAGAATTTTACATGAATAACTTATTTCTAAGCAGCTTTAAAAGGAGATATATCAAAAGGTGAGACATTCTTCAGTTTGTTGTAATCCTCCTTCAGAGTAAAAGTTGTGATCATTGGTAGAATTCACTTTATTGTGGTTTTATCTGTCTTGCCCTTTGCTGTTTTTTTAAATCCTTGAACGGTATTTGTCATATAGTTGGTGCTTAATAAATATGTCTATGTGATATGTATATGTGCTATTTTTTCATACTTTTTAAAGTTTTTTCTAAGAAACTTGTAAGTAAAAATATTTTAATAAAATGTTTATAAACTTACAGGAAATTATTTTCAAATGTCTAAAATAGAGATTATCTGTTAGCAATATTTTTATGATTCTTACCAAAAATCAGTCAAACTCTCTGTCTGCTAACCATTCTTGTTTTTGTAGATGTGTCTTGTATTATTAGACAAAGGGAAATAGATAATCACAAAACCATTAGCTTTGTGATTGTTAGTGAGCCATGTTTCCTCAGAGTTCCAAAAAGCATGGACCAATGTCTTTTTTTTTTTTTTCTGGTTCCTCTTAGAAAAAATTAGTGAAAACACAAATATATACTTAATAAAGACAAAAAAAATATTTTGAATAAAAATTATTATTCAGACCAGGTGTGGTGGCTCACACCTGTAATCCCAGCACTTTGGGAGGCTGAGACAGGCAGATCAGAAGTTTGAGACCAGCCGGGCAACATGGCGAAACCCTATCTTTACTACAAATGCAAAAGTTAGCTGGGTGTGGGGGCACAGGCCTGTGGTCTCGGCTACTCGGAAGGCTGCGGCATGAGAATCATTTGAACCCGAGAGGATGCAGTGAGCTAAGATCATGCCACTGCACTCCAGACTGGGTGACAGAGTGATACTCTATTCTCAAATAATAATAATGATATATATATAAAATTCAAACTTAGTTACTCATAGAAGACATTTGAAAATTCAAGTGATCAGAAGGAATATAGAATAAAAAAGACAAAGTGTATTCAATTTCTTTTGAACTCATACTCTGGTATCATTGAGATATATGGTCATGAACATAATCTTTGAACTCTAATACAATACAGACACATTTTAATATACCACTGTACATATTATATATAGAAGTTAGTCCAATCCTCACTCAGAAGAACTTGTACTCTGGTCTAAGTCTTGTTTTAGAATAAATTTACCCACGTCTGGCGCCTTTACTCCTTTAGTCAATACTCAACCAATGCTACTCTGCCTCTACAAATTTTTTATGAGATTGTGGTAGCCTAGAGGGAATATTACCAGGTAAACATTTCTATACTTTTAAATTGTCCTCCCTGGGAGATAAATCTTCTAATAGTATCATACTACCATTGGAAGATGTAGCCACTTACGTAATAAAATATAGAAGTCCATGGATCTGTGGCTACAACCTGGCTGACTTCATAAGCTGGGACCAGCCTAATTCCTTTGAAGTAAAATATATTATTAATACCAATGTGGTAGCAGAGATACAGGCCTTCTAAAATATATTGCCTATGAAATTCAGACATTTTATAATCATTTAAAAGATGCAGCTTTCTAACAACAGATTGTTGGTTTAGTAACTAATCAAACATTTGCAATTAAATAACATGGCTAATAAAATAATGTATTAGAATACAAAAAAAAGTGAAGTCATTCAAAACAGACCACACACTGATAGACAAAATATAATCCATTTAAAAAAAAAAACAGAAACATATATCTGTAGAGCTCTCCATGACTGAGAATATATGGAATAACGTTTTACAATGCCTATAGTTGGGAAATACATATGAATAATATGTACTATTTAAATTTTGTCTTTATGCTTTTATTATTCTCCATAATTAGCAGATATTCTTAGTTAATCAAGTATTTTATTTTACTGGCATTTATTTTATTATTTTATTTTATTTGAAATGAAAATCAGTTGAGAGAATGGCCATATATCATACCCAAATAAACTTTTCTGAGAAGCTACCTGAGAGCCCCAAAGCTCACAGGTAGATAATTAGTTCAGAGGGAGAATGTGAGACACAGAGCATAGGAACAGACAGTTAAGTAGAACACCCCAGATGCAGTCAGGTTTTCAGAGTGAGGCTCAAAGTGGAACAATGGTTCCCAACTGGGAATGATTCCGTTCTTCACTGAATGTTAGGCAAATTCTGGAGACATGTTCAGTTGTTACCATCAGGGGCAGTTGTGTACTGGCATCTAGTGTATAGGGACTAGCAATGCTGCTACATAGCCTGCGGTGCACAGGGCAACCTACTGCAACAAGGAATTACCTGTTCTAAAATGTCAATAATGCCCAAGTTAATATACCTGAGGGCAAATATACAATTTCACTGCTGAGAAGGACAACACATTAGAGAAAATCAGCTACATTTGTACCTGCTTTGCAGGACTGAAACCTTCCTAAAATGAAATTCTGTTCTCAACTAAAGAAATGAACAGAGTCTAGAAACTGCATAAGTCAATTCAGTTGAAACTTTTGTGATGCTCAGAGGTTATAATCAAGGAAAGAATGAAGATGACTACTAGCTGGTCTTGTGCACTCTGAAAAAATCTGGGCAGGATTGTCTTATCTAATCAGCCAGGCTTTCTCAGGCCAGGATCCATCAAGGGCTTAGTTCCCTTTATACAGTCTGAAACAGCAGGAATAGATTGTAAACTTAATTCTTTCTGAGGTCAAAAGTTCCTTAAGCATTCTTAATCAATAAGAGAGATAAGATAATCTATGCCACAAGTAATTATCCCTGAAACTCAATTCATAAAGAGACAGAAATCAGCAAATGTGTATACTGGTGGGGAGATTGCAGTAAAATGGACCTATCCTTACATGTAATTTTCCTGGGAGATTCAAAATGAAATGGTTTTGTATGAGAAGACAAACTTCTTATGCAATTTGCTACTGTCCTTCCTTGCAGGACAGTTAAAATTTTGTCTCTGGACCTATGAAATTATTCAATGTGGTGATCACAGAGTATTTGAGTACAATTTTTGCTAAGGGATGGGTAGTCCATCCTAGGCGGATAGAAGGCTTGCCGCTCTATTAAGTAGAAGGGAAAAAAGGCTCAACTTCTGTGGTTTATACCATGCTATATTCATATACATGATCATCATGCATTATATATACATTAATACAGCACCAATAATAATACTTAAGAGTTAAAATAACTCAAGTTAATTACTTAAATACTAAGAGTTAAAATAACACTGAAAACAACAAAATTCGTTAAAAATAAAATATTATATACAGGATTCAATATTAAATGATTTTCAATGGAATACAAGCAATAAAAGATTAAATGAATAAGAATGTGTTACAAAATAATTAAAATAAATGGCCTAGTAAATGAAAAGCCTAAAACCAGTTTAAAATATAGAAAATAAATAAAAGCAAAACAATTAAAGGCTCATTAAAGAATAAAACACAGAATGGTTAAAAGTATAAATTCTGAGACTTAACATTCCAATGCAGAAGCAAACAGGGTCCTGAGAGATGTAGAAACCATAAAAGCAAAGATAACTGTCCCCTGAGGTTTGACTTTTTTTGAAGGGGGTCCAGGCAGATATCCTAAATGAAATCCATACATTCTAAAACTCTGGTGCGCACAACAGGGGTTAATTTTCAGGGACAAGGCTGTGAATTTATTCTCAGCAGTTTTGCTTCTCCTTTCCATGGTCTTTTCTTTCTTTTTGTTCACTCACCCAAGGTTTTGTGTGTATTAACTGATCCCTTACATACTACAAAGAAAAAGGGATCATTAATTTGCAAACCTCTTAGTCCTAAAAAGTTCAGTGAAACAATACCTCATAATGGTTAAACTCAAGGATTATAGAGTTGGAGTTAACACTTGTAAAGTTATTTAAACATCCTGTGTGCTATCTTAAGGCATTGTTAAGAAAATCAAGTGTGTTTACTTTGTTAAATTTTGTAATAGCTTATAATCGTTTTGGTGAATAATGGTTTTATAATTCTGTGTTAAGTAAAACATTACTTTTCTTAATTAAATCTGAGCTTAAAGAGAATATGGTGAGCAGACCAATCACACTTCTTTATCAGGTGCATTTCGCATGTGCCAGAACCTAGGAGAAGAGATTGGACAAATGTTTGAGCACTTTTTAAATTGCCTATTGAATTCTCAAAGGAGGTTACATTTTTCCATCTGGACTTTTTTTCTCAATTAGGAAAATTCCCAGAAAGGATAGAGCAGCAAGCTCAGCAGGAAATCCGTGTTCTGAGTTTTTATCTTTCACATAGAGTTGGGGAAAGGCAGGAAGAAACAGGAAATTTAGTCTGCTAGTCCCCCCTAACCAATATCCATTTTTCACAGATGGAAACAAAAGCATACACAAAAAGGGAAATAACAAATTTCTCTTGTGTGCTTTCTCTTGGGCCACAAAATAATTTGTTCCAAGATTTATATTTAATGTTGCAAGACTTAAAGTGATGTCAAGATTACATACAGTGTTATCATAGCTTTCAATTTATTTAGTTTACATAGTTCACATTCTGTGGTTTTTCTTTTAAAATAAAGGCACAGCATAAATGAAGTTTGTTTGCTTTCCTCAAGAGAAAGAGAAAATACAGGCAAAAAGAAGCTTCTTTTGAGGGAAATTCAGAAGGCATTTGTTGCCATGCATGCCTAGCACAGACAGCTAAAGAGAGCTGTAGGTTAAAATTCTTAAATCTTGCCAAAAACGGTCAGCTGCTTTGTGAGAAAAAGCTATTGAAAAGAAAAATCAGTACATTTAGAAAAAGAGTGCTGTTAGTTCCACATGGTTATTACATTGGAAGTTTTTTGGTTATCACATCTTATGCAGATAACCAGGAAAGATATTTTTTACTTTTCATGTACATTGACTTTGGAAACTATATTATAAAAGAGAATAACATCATTATATAAAAGCAAAAGAATACCTGCCCTTTTTATGATGTGATAAAAATGATCAGATTAAATAATGTTTGAAGGACTTTTAATTCGTTTCTACAAATATTATCTTGATAACAAATGGTTATTTTTTCTTTCATTTAGGTAGTTATTATAATTTTTAAAATTAAGCATTTTGGAAAGAATGAACTGTAAAAATGTCTAATATTTTTCTGTTGTATATGTTCTAATTTATTTTTAATTTAAATATTTGAAAACGAGGAAAAGTAGAAAGGAAAATATCCCAAAATTCCAGTAGCAATCATCCACAATTAGTAAATACTAGCATTTTCATTGTAATTGCTCCATGTTATATGTAATAATTTATATTTTATTATATAGTATTTTGTGTAAAATACAGTATTATTTAGTATTTCATATAAGATATATAAAATATTACATGTATAGTTGAAGGCCACATTATTCTTTATAGTCTTTCCCTATTGCATTCCTCTCCCCTCCTTTCTAGAACAAACAACAAAATGTAACTATATGTCCTTTTATTGCATATATAGCTATGTGTATTTCTAAAATTAGGTAAATGATATTGTTCTTAACTTTTACTCTGATTTATTTTTTGTCCTGGTCATGTGTATACTGTATTTTATCTAAATACTGTATTACTGTATTTTATCCAAATAGTCTTCTATCAAATGATTATACCAAAATGTATTTATTCAGTCCACAATGATTAATTTTTAAATTGTTATGTCATTCTTTCACAAATACACATGCACATGTTCATTTACTGCAGCACTATTCATAATAGCAAAGACATCGATCAACCTAAATGCCCATCCACAGAAGACTGGATAAAGAAAATGTGGTTGGTACATATACACCATGGAATACTAGGCAGCCATGAAAAAGAATCAGATCATATCCTTTGCAGTGACATGGATAGAGGTGGAGGCCGTTACCCTTAGCAAACTAACACAGGAACAAAAACCAAATACCACATTTTCTCATTTGTAAGTGGGAGCTAAACATCAAGTACATATGGACACAAAGAAGGGAACAACAGACACTGGAGCCTACTTGAAGGTGGAGGTTGGGAAGGAGGTGGGGAGTGAAAAACTATCAGATACTGTGCTTATTACCTGGGTAACAAAATAATCTATACACTAAACACTCATGACACATAATTTACCTGTATAGCAAACCTGCATATGTACCCCTGAATTTAATGTTCAAAAAAATTAATTGCTTTCAATTTTCAGATTTTATAAAAAATATTACACATATCTTTGTATAAGGTGTAAGGAAAGGGTCCAGTTCAGTTTTCTACATATGGCTAGCCAGTTTTCCCAACACCATTTATTAAATAGGGAATCCTTTCCCCATTGCTGTTTTTTTGTCAGGTTTGTCAAAGATCAGATGGTTGAAGATGTGTGGTGTTATTTCTGAGGCCTCTGTTCTGTTCCATTGGTCTATATATACCTTTTGGTACCAGTACCATGCTGTTTTCGTTACTGTAGCCTTGTAGTATAGTTTGAAGTCAGGTAACGTGATGCCTCCAGCTTTATTCTTTTTGCTTAGGATTCTCTTGGCTTTATGGGCTCTTTTTGGTTCCATATGAAATTTAAAGTAGTTTGTTTTTTCTAATTCTGTAAAGAAAGTCAGTGGTAGCTGGATGGGGATAGCATTGAATCTGTAAATTACTTGGGGCAGTATGGCCAAAGTAATTCTTCCTATCCATGAGCATGGAATGTTTTTCCATTTATTTGTGTCCTCTCTTATTTCCTTGAACAGTGGTTTGTAGATCTCCTTGAAGAGGTCCTTCACATCTCTTGTGAGTTGTATTCCTAGGTCTTTTATTCTCTTTGTAGCAATTGGGAATGGGAGTTCACTCATGATTTGGCTCTCTGTTTGTCTGTTATTAATGTATAGGAATGCTTGTGATTTTTTCACATTGATTTTGTATCCTGAGACTTTGCTCAAGTTGTTTATCAGCTTAAGAAAATTTTGGGCTGAGACAATGGGTTTTTCTAAATATACAATCATGTCATCTGCAAACAGAGACAATTTGCCAGAATCTACAAGGAACATAAACAAATTTGCAAGAAAAAAACAAACAACCCTATTAAAAAGTGGGTGAAGGATATGAACAGACACTTCTAAAAAGAAGACATTTATGTGGCCAACAAACATATGAAAAAAAAAGCTCATTATCACTGGTCATTAGAGAAATGCAAATCAAAACCACAATGAGATACCATCTCATGTTAGAATCGCACTCATTAAACAGTCAGAAACAACAGATGCTGGAGAGGATGTGGAGAAACAGGAATGCTTTTACACTGTTGGTGGGAGTGTAAGTTAGTTCAGCCACTGCAGATGACAGTGTGGCAATTACTCAAGGATCTAGAACCAAAAATACCATTTGACACAGCAACCCCATTACTGAGTATATACCCGAAGGATTATAAATCATTCTACTATAAAGACACATGCACACATATGTTTATTGCAGCACTATTCACAATAGCAAAGACTTGGAACCAACCCAAATGCCCGTCAATGATACAGCCGATAAAGAAAATGTGGCACATATACACCATGGAATACTACACAGCCATAAAAAAGGATGTGTTCATGTCCTTTGCAGGGACATGGATGAAGCTGGAAACCATCATTCTCAGCAAACTAACACAGGAACAGAAAACCAAACACCGCATGTTCTCACTCATAAGAGAGAGTTGAATAATGAGAACACATGGACACAGGGAGAGGAACATCACACACTGGGGCCTGTAGCGGGGTGGAGGACTAGAGGAGGGATAGCATTAAGTGAAATACCTAATGTAGATGATGGGTTGATGGGTGCAGCAAACCACTGTGGCACATGTATACCTAAGTAACCAACCTGCATATTCTGCACATGTATCCTAGAACTTAAAGTATAATAAAAAATGTATATTACATGTATCATTGTTAGTATTTACTGGTGCATAAATGCAGAGTGCAACTTTTTTAAGAATATTAGAGATATAATTTCTGGGTTGTAGATTATATATAATTTTAAAATAACTAGATTTGGCTTTGGGAATTTTTTAATTTAAGAAGGTCAATGGATATTTATTATTATGGCTAGTGAAATATATAAAAGGTAACATAACTACTGAAACAGAGGGGTAGTGTGGTATAGTATTTAGGACTGTATGCTCAGAATCCAACTGTCAAGATTCAAATTTCACTGTTTTCTATTTGCTGTTTGAACTTACACAAGTCATTTAATCATTTCTCTTCATCTGTAAACGGGAAAAATACTATTACCTACCTCACATGTTTGTTGCGAGAATTAAGCTTTTTTTTTTTTTTTTTGAGACGGAGTCTGACTCTGTCACCAGGCTGGAGCACAGTGGTGTATCTCAGCTCACTGCAACTTCCGCCTCCCAGGTTCAAGCAATTCTCCCGCCTCAGCCTCCCAAGTAGCTGGAACTACCAGTGCACGCCACCATGCCCAGCTATTTTTTTTTTATTTTATTTTTAGTAGAGTTGGGGTTTCACCATGTTGGCCAGGATGGTCTCAATCTCTTGACCTTGTGATCTGCCCACCTTGGCCTCACGAAGTGCTGGGATTACAGGCATGAGCCACCGCGCCCTGTGATAATTAAGCAATTTTAAGGCATAAAGGACTTAGAATAATTTCTGGTACCCCGTAAGCCTTCAATAAACATTAACTATTGTTGTCATGCTTATTTGTATTATTGTTTTTATATATGTAACTACATTATCCTTATTATTGATCAAGGGAGGCGAGGTCTAGAAGAACTGTGAAAAATGGAGATAATTCTCCAGATCTTTTAGTTTAGTCAAAGTGTCTTGACTAAAGACACCAGTGTCAATATGTCTTCTAAGCAGCTTCCACATACCACTCTCTGACACTTCTGAGAATGAGCACATACCCTATTGTAGGGCAGCTCATCCAATCTTTGCAAACAACAATTGGTAAGAAAGTTATCCGGATTTTAAGCTAAAATCTGTGTGCCCAATATTATCAACTCACCTAATTCTCTCTGGAGCAAAATAGATTATATTTACACTCTCTTCCACATACTAGTTTTCTAGCAAAAGTAATATAAAATAATGTAATATAGTATGTGAATATATATTCTCCCCACTTTCCAAGCTTTTTCTTCCTAAAGTTAAATATCCCAGCTTGCTTCGTATTTGTTTTGAGGCACATATATTTTTAAGGTGTCTAAATGTGTATCCTTTAAATAACATGCCTTTTGACTCACTCCTCTGAACACACTGTGCTTTGACAAGGCTCTCCTAATGTTTGGTCCACAGATGAAAGCAAGAGATTGCAAAGTGCAGTGGGAATATTACTTTTCTTATGCTGGATGATTTTTATCAATTATTGTGACCTAAGAGTCTGTGATACTTTTATAACGGGTATGTCATTTGTATAGGACTTATTTATCAGAGGTAAGCATATAGGAAACCCTTGTTATGCACCTTTAAAAAGTAAATCAATTTATGTATATCAATTTACCTCTTTATTTACATTTCAGAGATACAGATATAAGGTTCTCACACGAAGAGGTAGAGAAATAAATGAAATAGTATTCGGAAGAAACTACATTAATATAAGTGATATCTAAATAATATCACCATACTATGTAGAAGAATGTCTGATTACTGAAAACTAGAATTTTTTAAATGTAATATCTCACACAGAAAATATTTTTTCAGTCCACAGAAGAAATTTTTTTCTTCTTTGTGAGACATTACATTAAAAATAAGTAGCAATATTTTATTGTGAAAACCTTAATGTAATTTATGACTAATACATCTTTGAAAATTTTTCTGTGAGGGCTAAGTAACCCTCAAACCATGACTAGAGGTTCATAGTCCCACATACTACAACTACTTCTCAATAACCATTCTCATTTTCAACTTAGCAAGAAATATCTTATTAATAATAAATATGACATAGATCAAACAAAAATTACAACAATGCTGGCACTCAACCTTTGCATGTATGTATTTATTTTGATGTCATTGTGAAAATTTAACCAGTTGAGAAGATGGAATTTTCCTACAGATGGACTCAGCTTGCTTGTGAATAGAAAATTCCTGAAAACCATTTTGTTACTACTAGGCTGCTTAACAATAATTTAATCTGCAACATATTTCAAATTGATCCTTGCTTAATTAATTGTTGAAGGCTGCTGCTTACCATAGGTAAATTCAGGAAAGGATTCTCCCCTAAATTACTTCATATGCTGCAAGGAATGTGTAGGAAGAAGATGGGGCACAGGGAGATGGAAGACGTGGGGTCTAGCAGTCCAATTTAGTCCAGTGGTTCAGGGTTACATAATGTCATTATATGCATGCAGTCAAGATAGTGTATTGATCATTTCTGCCTAACTTATGCTTGTTAGCAAATTACTCCCAAATGTACAGAGCTTTTACCAACAAAGGGTTCATTTTCAATCACCTTTGTGGGTCATCTATGTTTGTGCTTCTTTTCCTCTTTATTATGATCATGAAAGAATAGCCCTTATCTCAAACATAACAATCATCTGGCAGAAACAATGGAAAAAAATATAGAACATAAAACTCATAAACTTGTCATGAAGCTCATAAAAATTCTACCCAGCTGTTGTGTACATATATTTCTGCTCATTGTATTTGCCAAAGCCAGTAATGTAGCAAAATCTTATGTTCGAGAGGAGAGAAATATTCTTTTTTCACTGGTTTCCAAAGAGGGAGCAAAAGGGAGGGGAAGCAAATATGTATGTTTGAAAAAATAATATAATCTACCAGAGAAAGGAGTAGGAAAAGAAGCTAAGTATGTCTCTTCTCCTTCACATGTATCTAATTGTCCCTCATTCCCTGTGAGACGGATTTTTTAAAATTCTTAAGAAATATGAAAAATTGAGATACTTAATGGTTGAAACAACTATCTAAAGAGAAATTAATCATGCAGATAATTGCATAATGTACTTAATATTAAGTATCAACTATTGTTAAAATGAACATGATATTAAATTTAGCTAAAAATAAGGTGGCTGGACTATAGTTGGTAGTATTTTGATTTGCCACATGATATGTTTTTCCATTTCTTTTTGTCCTTACCCTTTATCCCTGGCAGATAAAGAGCAAAAAGAACTTCATGTGACTTGCCGAATGACTGTTTCAACCCACAGGAAAGAAGATTTTCTTGAAAGGCAAGGCTCTAAATTGCAAGAACTATGATTTGAAGTGAGAACGTATTTTTAATTTTAAATCTTGTCTGTAATAGACACAACCAAGCTATAAAAGCCCTCTTAGCAGAGGGTAGTCAGGACAGAGAGGAGAAAATGGACCAGGGGCCTTTCCCAGTCACTCCCAAAGGTTCAGGTGCTCTCAGGAGAAGGGAAGGAATGAGAGCAGGACACATCTGAATTGCCTAGATTTTCTCCAAAGTGACCAAATTTTAACTGATAATTTAGCTAGTAATAAATTACCTAGAAAAAGCAAGACTGCACTTTCCACATCAGGAAACACAGGGACTTAAGAGCTAAATACATTTCAGTAATGATTAAATAAATACAGAGGCATGTTTAAAATCATATTTGCATGTGTCTTACCTATTACATAGAGTTTTAATAAATATAATCTGATATAGCCTAGAGGCCATTCTTTTTTACATCTGAAATCTGATAATATCCATTGTTTTCATTTGCTGATCTGTTTTCAGAAATCCATTTTCAGAAAAAGTGAACTAAAAACAGTATATGGCTTAGATTCTACATATAAGGATGAAGACTGGAATGAAGAGTGAAGCTCAAGGACTCACCCTTCACCCAATCCAGTTTAACATCTTTGCAATCACATTTTGTATGAAAAGTAATTGTTTAAAATATGAAATAATTGAATATCTAATATTTACCCACTTTAAAGTAGACAAAAAAGCATGAAATGAATATTTGATGTGATAAAATTTAATTTTTTGGATATTTATCAAAACTTCTGTTTAATCTGAAGTTTTAACATCTTAGTGTTTTCTATCCTGCAACAATGTGTAACCTTCTCACCATGATCAGTTAGAATTACCTGAACTTATTGAAACATCAGATATGTTTTAATACCCAACATTCTTAAAGGATAAAGTTAGGAAATGTCTCCTGATAGATAGAGCAAGTAAAGGAAAAAAGGATTATTTTTTATCTCAGTCAAGAAATATTAAAGCTTATAGTAAGAGCTGAGAACATTATTTGACATGTATGAGTTGGAAAGAAAAAACAACAAAACATGGTGAGAAATGAAAAGATACAAAAGATACAGAAACTTATTAGATACAGAGAGGTTTAAGATACAAAGGCAGATAGGCAAATTGTTGGCGAGAATATTTGTTTTATCCAAATAAATTAGACTTAGAGTTATGCACAATGAAATGGTAAACTAGCAAAAAAAAAAAAAAAAAAGCACAGCAAGGATCTTGCACAAGCCTTTGGGAGGGAGGAGCTGAGTCTACAGGGTCCATAGTTACAGCATCAGGCTGACTTAACAATATCATAACATCAAGTTCTCACATTCTCTTTAGCACAAGAATACTGAAGGTTTTGTAAGTTACATTTTTAAAAATGATGAGAAGTTTTCACTGATGCCAAGCACAGCTTAACTATGAAATTTATAATCTCTGGTGTTAAAAAAAAACATAAAACCACTCAGCTATGGCTCTTTCAGATAGGGTTCTTAACATTTTAAGAAAAACATTTTTAAATGACTTTAGGACAAAAAGGGGTTTATTGCAAGGATGCATGTTCCTGAGTACTTCAGAAAACTTGAGCTAGGCCTGGGCATGTACTGCCACTGTAGAGCTCAGGCATCATGCTCACATCATTTGCTCACTCTTGCTCTTGCTTTCATTCTTTCCCTGGTTCTCTCTTAGAAGTTACCTATTCTCTTTCCTTTATTCTGTTCCTCAATATCCTATCAACTAACTTTCACCACATAACCATCTTGCACACAGACATTGTGGCTATTAGCCCTTCCTCTATCTGGCCTTTTAGTTAAGAGCCTGACATTTACTGTTATCAACCTAAAATAACTAAAAGAGTCAGAAGCGAATTTAAAGAGAGTTTATTCTCTTGTCCACAAAGTTTGAGGACAAGCTGTTCAGGAAGGACAGATTCCAAAGAATGGAAGTCAGAGTTCAGAAGTATAGAAGTTTGGGATCACTTATAGAGACAAAGTTTAGGGGAGCTTAACAAAATTTCAGCATCTTTCTTCATAAGCCTTAATGGCATAGTTACAATTAGCTGATTGGTCCAGGTGGTGCTTTTGTTTTGGGAAAGGTATATTTAACATTCCACACTGAAGATGTAACAGTCATGGGGTCTTGGGTGCCATCTGGTCTGAATTAGGTACCAGACAATAAAGGAGGCAGTTAATCTATAACAAAGATGAGTACTTGGAAGTAGGGGAAGGTCTGATATCTGGTCTCTGCTAGTCATTTTTAGAACAAGAACAATCAGGAAGAGAGCCAATCTACAATCTAAGGGCAGAATTGCAAATATGCTACGTGAGAGTCTCCAGGGCTTAATTTTTTTCCTTGACATACTAAATTTAGATAGTCCTGAAATTTTATTTTATTTCTACACTATGTACTTTTTCTATAGTTCTCATTTTATGCTTTCTGTCAGGCCTCTGAGCCCAAGCCAAGCCATCGCATCCCCTGTGACCTGCACATATACGCCCAGATGGCCTGAAGTAACTGAAGAATCACAAAAGAAGTGAATATGCCCTGCCCCACCTTAACTGATGACATTCCACCACAAAAGAAGTGTAAATGGCCGGTCCTTGCCTTAACTGATGACATTACCTTGTGAAAGTCCTTTTCCTGGCTCATCCTGGCTCAAAAAGCACCCCCACTGAGCACCTTGCAGCCCCCACTCCTGCCCGCCAGAGAACAAACCCCCTTTGACTGTAATTTTCCTTTACCTACCCAAATCCTATAAAACGGCCCCACCCTTATCTCCCTTGGCTGACTCTCTTTTCCAACTCAGCCCACCTGCACCCAGGTGAAATAAACAGTCATGTCGCTAACACAAAGCCTGTTTGGTGGTCTCTTCACATGGACGCGCGTGAAATTTGGTGCCGTGACTCGGATCGGGGGACCTCCCTTGGGAGATCAATCCCCTGTCCTCTTGTTCTTTGCTCCGTGAGAAAGATCCACCTACGACCTCAGGTCCTCAGACCAACCAGCCCAAGAAACATCTCACCAATTTCAAATCCGGTAAGCGGCCTCTTTTTACTCTCTTCTCCAACCTCCCTCACTATCCCTCAACCTCTTTCTCCTTTCAATCTTGGCGCCACACTTCAATCTCCCCCTTCTCTTAATTTCAATTCCTTTCATTTTCTGGTAGAGACAAAGGAGACACGTTTTATCGGTGGACCCAAAACTCTACAGGGCAAGAACCCCCAATCCCTTATTTCTGCACCCCAACCTCTTATCTCTGTGCCCCAATCCCTTATTTCCACGCCCCAATCCCTTATTTCCGTGCCCCAACCTCTTATATCTCTGCGCCCCAATCCCTTATTTCCGCACCCCGACCTCTTATCTCTGCGCCCCAATCCCTTATTTCCGTGCCCCGACCCCTTATTTCCGTGCCCCGACCCCTTATTTCCGTGCCCCGACCCCTTATTTCCATGCCCCGACCCCTTATTTCCTTGCCCCGACCCCTTATTTCTGCACCCCATCCCTTATTTCCGTGCCCCGACCTCTAATCTCTGTGCCCCAACCCCTTTTCCCACTTTTCTGGAAGGTAAGAACCTCCGAACCCCTTCCCTCCTTTTCTCTACTCTCTCTTTTCTCTAGGCTTCCTTCACTATGGGCAACCTTCCACCCTCCATTCCTCCTTCTACTCCTTTGTCCTGTGTTCTCAAAAACTTAAAACCTCTTCAACTCACACCTGACCTAAAACCTAAATGCCTTATTTTCTTCTGCAATGCCGCTTGACCCCAATATAAATTTGACAGTAGTTCCAAATAGCCAGAAAATGGCACTTTGAATTTTTCCATCCTGCAAGATCTAAATAATTCTTGTCGTAGAATAGGCAAATGGTCTGAGGTGCCTGACGTCTAGGCATTCTTTTACACATCAGTCCCTTCCTAGTCTCTGTGCCCAGTGCAACTCGTCCTAAATCTTCCTTCTTTCCCTCCCGCCTCTCCCCTCAGTACCAACCCCAAGCATCGCTGAGTCTTTCTAATCTTCCTTTTCTACAGACCCATCTGACCTTTCCCTTCCTCCCCAGGCTGCTCCTCACCAGGCCGAGCTAGGTCCCAATTCTTCCTCAGCCTCTGCTCCTCCACCCTGTAATCTTTTTATCACCCCCCCTCCTCACACCTGGTCTGGCTTACCGTTTCATTCCCTGACTAGCCCTCCCCCTCCTGCCCAGCAATTTACTCTTAAAAAGGTGGCTGGAGCTAAAGGCATAGTCAAGGTTAATGCTCTTTTTCTTTATCCCAAATCAGATAGCATTTAGGCTCTTTTTCATCAAATATAAAAATCCAGCCCAGTTCATGATTTGTTTGGCAGCAACCATGAGACACTTTACAGCCCTAGACCCTAAAAGGTCAAAAGGCCGTCTTATTCTCAAAATACATTTTATTACCCAATCTGCTCCCGACATTAAATAAAACTCCAAAAATTAAATTCCGGCCCTCAAACCCCACAACAGGATTTAATTAACCTCGCCTTCAAGGTGTACAATAATAGAAAAAAGTTGCAATTCTTTGCCTCCACTGTGAGACAAACCCCAGCCACATCTCCAGCACACAAGAACTTCCAAATGCCTGAACTGCAGCAGCCAGGCATTCCTCCAGAACCTCCTCCCCCAGGAGCTTGCTACAAGTGCCAGAAATCTGGCCACCAGGCCAAGGAATGCCTGCAGCCCAGGATTCCTCCTAAGCCGTGTCCCAACTGTGTGGGACCCCGCTGGAAATCGGACTGTTCAACTCACCTGGCAGCCACTCCCAGAGCCCCTGGAACTCTGGCCCAAGGCTCTCTGACTGACTCCTCGGCTTAGCGGCTGAAGACTGACGCTGCTTGATCACCTCGGAAGCCCCCGTAGACCATCACGGACGCCGAGCTTTAGGTAACTCTCACAGTGGAAAGTAAGTCCATCCCCTTCTTAATCAATACGGAGGCTACCCCCTCCACATTACCTTCTTTTCAAGGGCCTGTTTCCCTTGCCTCCATAACTGTTGTGGGTATTGACGGCCAGGCTTCTAAACCTCTTAAAACTCCCCAACTCTGGAGCCAACTTAGACAATACTCTTTTAAGCACTCTTTTTTAGTTATCCCCACCTGCCCAGTTCCCTTATTAGGCTGAGACACTTTAACTAAATTATCTGCTTCCCTGACTATTCCTGGACTACCGCTATATCTCATTGCCGCCCTTCTTCCCAATCCAAAGCCTCCTTTGCGTCCTCCTCTTGTATCCCCCCACCTTAACCCACAAGTATAAGATACCTCTACTCCCTCCTTGGCGACTGATCATGCACCCCTTACCATCTCATTAAAACCTAATCACCCTTACCCCACTCAATGCCAATATCCCATCCCGCAGCCCGCTTTAAAAAGATTAAAGCCTGTTATCACTCGTCTGCTACAGCATGGCCTTTTAAAGCCTATAAACTCTCCTTACAATTCCCCCATTTTACCTGTCCTAAAACCAGACAAGCCTTACAAGTTAGTTCAGGATCTGCGCCTTATCAATCAAATTGTTTTGCCTATCCACCCCGTGGTGCCAAACCCATATACTCTCCTATCCTCAATACCTCCCTCCACAATCCATTATTCTGTTCTGGATCTCAAACGTGCTTTCTTTACTATTCCTTTGCACCCGTCATCCCAGCCTCTCTTGGCTTTCACTTGGACTGACCCTGACACCCATTAGGCTCAGCAAATTACCTGGGCTGTACTGCCGCAAGGCTTCACAGACAGCCCCCATTACTTCAGTCAAGCCCAAATTTCATCCTCATCTGTTACCTATCTCGGCATAATTCTCGTAAAAACACACGTGCTCTCCCTGCTGATCGTGTCCGACTAATCTCCCAAACCTCAATCCCTTACAAAAGAACAACTCCTTGCCTTCCTAGGCATGGTTAGTACGGTCAGAATTCTTACACAAGAGCCAGGACCGCACCCTGTAGCCTTTCTGTCCAAACAACTTGACCTTACTGTTTTAGCCTAGCCCTCGTGTCTCCGTGCAGTGGCTGCCGCTGCTTTAATACTTTTAGAGGCCCTCAAAATCACAAACTATGCTCATCTCACTCTCTATAGCTCTCATAATTTCCAAAATCTATTTTCTTCCTCACACCTGACACATATACTTTCTGCTCCCCGGCTCCTTCAGCTGTACTCACTCTTTGTTGAGTCTCCCACAATTACCATTGTTCCTGGCCCGGACTTCAATCCGGCCTCCCACATTATTCTGGATACCACACCTGACCGTCATGACTGCATCTCTCTGATCCACCTGATGTTCACCCCATTTCCCTACATTTCCTTCTTCCCTGTTTCTCACACTGATCACACTTGGTTTATTGATGGCAGTTCCACCAGGCCTAATCGCTACTCACCAGCAAAGGCAGGCTATGCTATAGTATCTTCCACATCTATCATTGAGGCTACCGCTCTGCCTCCCTCCACTACCTCTCAGCAAGCCGAACTAGTTGCCTTAACTCAAGCCTTCACTATTGCAAAAGGACTACACATCAATATCTATACTGATTCTAAATATGCCTTTCATATTCTGCACCACCATGCAGTCATATGGGCTGAAAGAAGTTTCCTCACTACACAAGGGTCCTCCATCATTAATGCCTCTTTAATAAAAACTCTGCTCAAGGCTGCTTTACTTCCAAAAGAAGCTGGGGTCATTCACTGCAAGGGGCATCAAAAGGCATCAGATTCCATTGCTCTAGCCAATGCTTATGCTGACAAGGTGGCTAGACAAGCAGCTAGCTCTCCAACTTCTGTCCCTCATGGCCAGTTTTTCTCCTTCACTTCAGTCACTCCCACCTATTCCCCCACTGAAACTTCCACCTATCAATCTCTTCCCACACAAGGCAAATGGTTCTTAGACCAAGGAAAATACCTTCTTCCAGCCTCACAGGCCCATTCTATTCTGTCGTCATTTCATAACCTCTTCCATGTAGGTTACAAGCCGCTAGCCCGACTGTTAGAACCTCTCATTTCCTTTCCATCATGGAAATCTATCCTCAAGGAGATCACTTCTCAGTGTTCCATCTGCTATTCTACTATTATCCCTCAGGGATTGTTCGGGCCTCCTCCCTTTCCTACACATCAAGCTCGGGGATTTGCCCCTGCCGAGGATTGGCAAATTGACTTTACTCACATGCCTCGAGTTAGAAAACTAAAATATCTCTTAGTCTGGGTAGACACTTTCACTGGATGGGTAGAGGCCTTCCCCACAGGGTCTGAGAAGGTCACTGCGGTCATTTCTTCCCTTCTGTCAGACATAATTCCTCGGTTTGGCTTTCCCACCTCTATACAGTCTGATAACGGACCAGCCTTTACTAGCCAAATCACCCAAGCAATTTCTCAGGATCTTGGTATTCAGTGGAACCTTCATATCCCTTACCATCCTCAATCTTCAGGAAAGGTAGAACAGACTAATGGTCTTTTAAAGGCACACCTCACCAATCTCAGCCTCCAACTTAAAAAGGATTGGACAGTACTTTTACCTCTTGCTCTTCTCAGAATCAGAGCCTGTCCTCGAGATGCTACAGGGTACAGTCCATTTGAACTTTTGTATGGACGCACTTTCTTGCTTGGCCCCAACCCCATCACAGACACCAGCCCTCTAGGCGACTATCTTCCAGTCCTCCAGCAGGCTAGACAGGAAATTTGCCAGGCTGCTAATCTTCTCTTGCCTACTCCAGATCCCCAGCCATATGAAGACAACCTAGCTGGACGATCAGTTCTTGTTAAGAATCTGACCCCTCAAACTCTACAACCTCGATGGACCGGACCCTACTTAGTCATCTATAGTACCCCGACTGCCGTCCGCCTGCAGGATCCTCCCCACTGGGTTCACTGTTCCAGAATAAAGCTGTGTCCATCGGACAGCCAGCCTAATCCCTTCCTCTTCCTCCTGGAAGTCGCAAGTACTCTCCCCCACTTCCCTTAAACTCACTCGTATTTCTGAAGAACAGTAATAACCCTTATGAGCCTAATATATCCCTTCATTCTATTCGATCTGTTCGTCCTTACCCTACTTTTTGCAACAGGGCTTTACGAAGTCACCCCCACCACTTAGGCCGAGCCCCAAAAAACTAGTCATCCCTACTATCTTCTGTCAGATCATACTCCTATTCTCCATTCTCAACCACTTATAAATGGCCTACTCTTGTTTACACCGCCGGTTTACACTGCTTCTTCAAGCCATCACAGCTGATATCTCTTGGTGCTATCCCCAAACTGCCACTCTTAACTCCCTCTTAGAGTGGATAGATGATCTTTGCTGGCAAGGCACCCTCCAATACTTCCACCCTGATGAAGTTCTATTCTTTACTTTTATACTCACTCTTATTCTCATTCCCATTCTTATGTCACCCTCTACCTCTCCCCAGCTATCTCCACCACACTGTCAACCTTACCCATCCTCTCCTAGCTGCTTCTAATCCCTCCTTAGCGAACAACTGCTGGCTTTGCATTTCCCTTTCTTCCAGTGCCTACACAGCTGTCTCCGCCTTACAGACAGACTGGGCAGTATCTCCTGTCTCCCTACACCTCCGAACTTCCTTTAACAGCCCTCACCTTTACCCTCCTGAAGAATTCATTTACTTTCTAGACAGGTCCAGCAAGACTTCCCCAGACATTTCACATCAGCAAGCTGCCGCCCTCCTTCGCACTTATTTAAAAAACCTTTCTCCTTATATTAACTCTACTTCCCCCATATTTGGACCTCTCACTACACAAACTACTATTCCAGTTGCCGCTCCTTTATGTATCTCTCGGCAAAGACCCACTGGAATTCCCCTAGGTAATCTTTCACCTTCTCGATGTTCCTTTACTTTTCATCTCTGAAGTCCAACTACACACATCACTGAAACAATTGGAGACTTCCAGCTCCATATTACAGAGAAGCCCTCTATCAATACTGACAAACTTAAAAACATTAGCAGTAATTATTGCTTAGGAAGACACTTGCCCTGTATTTCACTCCATCCTTGGCTACCTTCCCCTTGCTCATCAGACTCTTCTCCCAGGCCCTCTTCTTGTTTACTTATACCCAGCCCCGAAAATAACAGTGAAAGGTTGTTCATAGATACTCAACGTTTTCTCATACACCATGAAAATCGAACCTCCCCCTCTATGCAGTTACCCCATCAGTCCCCATTACAACCTCTGACAGCTGCCGCCCTAGCTGGATTCCTAGGAGTCTGGGTACAAGACACCCCTTTCAGCACTCCTTCTCATCTTTTTACTTTACATCTCCAGTTTTGCCTCACACAAGGTCTCTTCTTCCTCTGTGGATCCTCTACCTACATGTGTCTACCTGCTAATTGGACAGGCACATGTACACTAGTCTTCCTTACCCCCAAAATTCAATTTGCAAATGGGACCGAAGAGCTCCCTGTTCCCCTCATGACACCGACACGACAAAAAAGAGTTATTCCACTAATTCCCTTGATGGTCGGTTTAGGACTTTCTGCCTCCACTATTGCTCTCGGTACTGGAATAGCAGGCATTTCAACCTCTGTCACGACCTTCCGTAGCCTGTCTCATGACTTCTCTGCTAGCATCACACACATATCACAAACTTTATCAGTCCTCCAGGCCCAAGTTGACTCTTTAGCTGCAGTTGTCCTCCAGAACCGCCAAGGCCTTGACTTACTCACTGCTGAAAAAGGAGGACTGCATATTCATAAATGAGGAGTGTTGTTTTTACCTAAATCAATCTGGCCTGGTGTATGACAACATAAAAAAACTCAAGGATAGAGCCCCAAAACTTGCCAACCAAGCAAGTAATTACGCTGAACCCCCTTGGGCACTCTCTAATTGGATGTCCTGGGTCCTCCCAATTCTTAGTCCTTTAATACCCATTTTTCTCCTTCTTTTATTCAGACCTTGTATCTTCCATTTAGTTTCTCAATTCATCCAAAACCGTATCCAGGCCATCACCAATCATTCTATACGACAAATGTTTCTTCTAACATCCCCACAATATCACCCCTTACCACAAGACCTCCCTTCAGCTTAATCTCTCCCACTCTAGGTTCCCACGCCGCCCCTAATCCCGCTTGAAGCAGCCCTGATAAACATCACCCATTCTCTCGCCATATCACCCCCCAAAAATTTTCACTGCCCCAACACTTCAACACTATTTTGTTTTATTTTTCTTATTAATATAAGAAGGCAGGAGTGTCAGGCCTCTGAGCCCAAGCCAAGCCATGCATCCCCTGTGACCTGCACGTATATGCCCAGATGGCCTGAAGTAACTGAAGAATCACAAAAGAAGTGAATATGCCCTGCACCACCTTAATGATGACATTCCACCACAAAAGAAGTGTAAATGGCCGGTCCTTGCCTTAACTGATGACATTACCTTGTGAAACTCCTTTTCCTGGCTCATCCTGGCTCAAAGCACCCCCACTGAGCACCTTGCGGCCCCCACTCCTGCCCGCCAGAGAACAAACCCCCTTTGACTGTAATTTTCCTTTACCTACCCAAATCCTATAAAACAGCCCCACCCTTATCTCCCTTGGCTGACTCTCTTTTCGGACTCAGCCCGCCTGCACCCAGGTGAAATAAACAGCCATGCTGCTCACACAAAGCCTGTTTGGTGGTCTCTTCACACGGATGCGCATGAAACTTTATTTATTTTATTTTATTTTATTTTATTTTATTTTTTTATTGATCATTCTTGGGTGTTTCTCGCAGAGGGGGATTTGGCAGGGTCATAGGACAATAGTGGAGGGAAGGTCAGCAGATAAACAAGTGAACAAAGGTCTCTGGTTTTCCTAGGCAGAGGACCCTGCGGCCTTCCACAGTGTTTGTGTCCCTGGTTACTTGAGATTAGGGAGTGGTGATGACTCTCAACGAGCATGCTGCCTTCAAGCATCTGTTTAACAAAGCACATCTTGCACCGCCCTTAATCCATTTAGCCCTGAGTGGACACAGCACATGTTTCAGAGAGCACGGGGTTGGGGGTAAGGTCACAGATCAACAGGATAAGAATTTTTCTTAGTACAGAACAAAATGAAAAGTCTCCCATGTCTACCTCTTTCTACACAGACACGGCAACCATCCGATTTCTCAATCTTTTCCCCACCTTTCCCCGCTTTCTATTCCACAAAACCGCCATTGTCATCATGGCCCGTTCTCAATGAGCTGTTGGGTACACCTCCCAGACGGGGTGGTGGCCGGGCAGAGGGGCTCCTCACTTCCCAGTAGGGGCGGCCGGGCAGAGGCGCCCCTCACCTCCCGGACGGGGCGGCTGGCCGGGCAGGGGGCTG
Organism: Homo sapiens; assembly: GCF_000001405.40. Taxonomy (NCBI): domain Eukaryota; kingdom Metazoa; phylum Chordata; class Mammalia; order Primates; family Hominidae; genus Homo; species Homo sapiens. The sequence goes on along the minus strand of NC_000002.12, from coordinate 187,557,294 downwards.
ACCCCCCCACCTCACTCCCGGATGGGGCGGCTGGCCGGGCAGAGGGGCTCCTCACTTCCCAGTAGGGGCGGCCGGGCAGAGGCACCCCTCACCTCCCGGACGGGGTGGCTGGCCCGGCGGGGGGCTGATCCCCCCACCTCCCTCCCAGACGGGGCGGCTTGCCAGGCAGGGGGCTGACCCCCCCACCTCCCTCCCGGACCGGGCGGCTGGCCGGGCAGAGGGGCTCCTCACTTCCCAGTAGGGGCGGCCGGGCAGAGGCACCCCTCACCTCCCGGACGGGGCGGCTGGCCGGGCGGGGGGCTGACCCCCCCACCTCCCTCCCGGACTGGGCGGCTGGCCGGGCGGGGGGCTGATCCCCCCACCTCCCTCCCGGACGGGGTGGCTGCTGGGCGGAGACGCTCCTCACTTCCCAGACGGGGCGGCTGGCCGGGCAGAGGGGCTCCTCACTTCCCAGTAGGGGCCGCCGGGCAGAGGCGCCCCTCACCTCCCGGACGGGGCGGCTGGCCGGGCGGGGGGCTGACCCCCCACCTCCCTCCCAGACGGGGTGGCTGCTGGGCAGAGACGCTCCTCACTTCCCAGACAGGGTGGCTGCTGGGCAGAGGGGCTCCTCACTTCTCAGATGGGGCGGCTGCCGGGCGGAGGGTCTCCTCACTTCCCAGACGGGGCCGCCGGGCAGAGACGCTCCTCACCTCCCAGACGGGGTCGCGGCGGGGTAGAGGCGCTCCTCACATCCCAGACGGGGCGGCGGGGCAGAGGCGCTCCCCACATCTCAGACGATGGGCGGCTGGGCAGAGAGGCTCCTCACTTCCTAGATGGGATGGCGGCCGGGAAGAGGCGCTCCTCACTTCCTAGATGGGATGGCGGCCAGGCAGAGACACTCCTCACTTTCCAGACTGGGCAGCCAGGCAGAGGGGCTCCTCACATCCCAGACAATGGGCGGCCAGGCAGAGACGCTCCTCACTTCCCAGGCGGGGTGGCGGCCGGGCAGAGGCTGCAATCTCTGCACTTTGGGAGGCCAAGGGAGGCGGCTGGGAGGTGGAGGTTGTAGCGAGCTGAGATCACGCCACTGCACTCCAGTCTGGGCGCCATTGAGCACTGAGTGAACCAGACTCCGTCTGCAATCCCGGCACCTCAGGAGGCCGAGGCTGGTGGATCACTCGCGGTTAGGAGCTGGAGACCAGCCCGGCCAACACAGCGAATCCCCGTCTCCACCAAAAAAATACGAAAACCAGTCAGGCGTGGCGGCGCGCCTGCAATTGCAGGCACTCAGCAGGCTGAGGCAGGAGAATCAGGCAGGGAGGTTGCAGTGAGCTGAGATGGCAGCAGTACAGTCTAGCTTCTGCTCGGCATCAGAGGGAGACTGTGGAAAGAGAGGGAGAGGGAGACCGTGAGAGGGAGAGGGAGAGGGAGACGGAGAGGGAGAGGGAGAGGGAGAGGGAGAGGGAGGAGAGGCGAAACTTTCAAGAAAGAAAATCTGATTGGCTGAGCTTGCCTCTACCTGAGCTACAGATTCCTCAAAAGTTTAATCAAGGTCCATGGTGGTACCAAGAAAAAAGGACTTTCCTCTACAATCTGAGTGAGATGATAGCTTTGATTGTGGTTGAGGGGCAGGGCATGAGGTAATAGGAGATAAGTTATTAACATGATATGAAATCCAGAACATGAGTGAGAAGGCAGCATGGAGGAGGATTTATGCATTTTTGCTCTAAAGGCAGACTGCATGACATTAGAATCACAGCTCCACATACTGAACTCGATCTTCCTAGACATGTGAAATGGGCATACAAAGAGGACCTTCTTTATAAGCTAGTTGTGAGAATTAAATCGATAATTTATGTTCCAGTCACCACCAAATAATTATTCAATATGTATTAAAAACACTCAAGATGAAAGGTTACCTTTTACAGAGAGGTCTAAGGAAAGCAAGAAAAATTGAAGGCACAAAGAATCTGAGATGCAGAAGCAAGAAACTCCTACATTTTCTGACCAAATGTCTTCAGCCTTCCTGGCAAAGTAGATTCTGCCCATTTATTAGATCTCTAGTGATCTTAGTCTGATATGACCATAATTCCAATACAGAGACAGTACGGATGAACCTCAATGATAGGGACATACAGCAGAGACTCTGGTTGACATCTGTAAATATTTACATATTTTGTAGAATAATAATAATAGAAATACAGAAAACAGCGATAATGATAGCCAACAATTATTGGAGGTTTGCTACATGCTGGGTCCTGCCTTAAGTACTTTTTATGTATTAAGCCATTTAGTACTTACATCAAGCCCAGAAACTTTTATTATCGACATTTTAGGAACAAAGGAACTGAGGCATAGTGAATTCAAATAACTGGGCTGAGTAGCCAAGTTAGCAAGTAGCTAAGGTAGGGCTCAAAGCCTGACACCTGCAATAGATAATGCATTACATTGTCTCACTAAGAGAGACCTCCAACGGTAGCCCTCAGACTTTTAAAAAAAATAAATACATTGACAGTGGGTGAAACAAATGAAATAACTTGAAGAAGAAACAAACTGCAAAAAAGCTTATTAACAGTGTAATAATAAATATGTAATTTTTTAAACCCTAACTCTAGGGGGAAAAAAGCATTCTTTTTCAACTGATTACAAAAACAATCCTGGAAAGTAAAGGAAATAGCTATTCAAAATGATCGTATCTGAAATCTTGGTGTAAGCTGTTTCCTTCATCTGTTTCCTCCACTAAAAAAAAGAAAGAAAGAAAGAAAAAAGAGGTTTAGACTAAATAGAGTCAGAGTTGCAGTGACCTAAACAGGAAGTTGGGCTATTCCCAACTGCCAGTGATCTCTGAAGCCGACTCTGAGGCTCCCTCTTTGCTCTAACAGACAGCAGCGACTTTAGGCTGGATAATAGTCAAATTCTTACCTCGCTCTTTCACTGCTAGTAAGATCAGATTGCGTTTCTTTCAGTTACTCTTCAATCGCCAGTTTCTTGATCTGCTTCTAAAAGAAGAAGTAGAGAAGATAAATCCTGTCTTCAATACCTGGAAGGAAAAACAAAATAACCTCAACTCCGTTTTGAAAAAAACATTCCAAGAACTTTCATCAGAGATTTTACTTGTGAGTACCTGGCAATATACTGTCTAGCCCATAAGAAATAACTTTAATTTCTTTTTCTCGGGGGAAAAGCAGGGTGCTGAGAGGCAAAGAACTGATAGGGGAGGATCACTGTTTATTTGCGTAAAATGAAAATCAGCCCTTCCCTGTAAACAGAGTAAACTCAAACTGCAATCCAAACTTGAGTTCTCAGCATTTTGCATTTAGTTCTTAAGCAAATTTATGTGCAATTTTTATGATTTTAAACCATAAACATTTTTGTAACTAATTGGTGTATGTAGCTTTTTTATAATTTGAAGATTGTAGTAGAATTCTTTACTAATTGTGCTTGGTTAATTGGAAGTTCTTGAAAGTTCGGTTTACCTTTCCATTTTATTTCATAACATATAAAATAGAGACTGTTATTCTTCTATTCAAATAATCTTTCAATACTATTAGTTGATGATATTTAAAATGAGGTATAACCATTAAAATAATCGTAATCTAAATGGAATATTTTATGCCAGCATTAACTAATCTCTCTAAGGAAATATTTTACAATTCTCCAAAGACCAAAGGTCATATTCTGAGATACTTAAACGAGAATACTTACGATCAAGTCTATGTTGTGCAATTTTGTAAATTAAAACAATAGATAACATGCCTACATGATGTACTGTTATGTTCCTGTTATAAAATGTTTGCTTCTAGTGAAAAATGAAAGCATATAATACAGCAGTAAACAACCACAGAAATATAATGAGAGAAACAATTATTTAATTATGAAAAAGCACTCATTAGTATAAAATAATTACCAAAAATAAGGGCCAAGAGTACTACCATGTGGGAAAAAAGAAAAGATAAGCAACAGCCACACTGTGACTCAGTGCTCTGGAAATTAGTCACAAAATGACTTTGTATAACATGAGATAATATAAACACAAAGGGCAAAACTCAAGCAGGAAACATACTGCCCAGAGAGTCATATTTCATGTGTAAAAGCATAATATTTACATGAAAGGGGGAAAGTTGTGACAATTTTGAGAGATACTGCAAAACTTTTGAATAAAATGTGTTAGGGAGGCAAAATCTCCCTAACACATTTTAAAGATTATTTTAAATCTATCATTCTAGTGCATGATTATTTCAATATACAGTGTCCATATCTCATCTAATCCTTAAACTAAAGAGGGATAGTCCCTGAAATTTGGCTGAGTTTGAAATGTTAATTTGTGGCCTACAGCTTAATAAAATTATATGAAATATAATTAGGGATCAACAAAGATTGAAAAATATTAATGTAAATACAGATAACTAATCAAGTAATTTTAAAATAAGAGTAAAACTTTAAAATATTTATTTTTACTGATTTGAGTAGTTATATTGGAAAACCAAGTTTTTCTACTTCAAGTGACCACAGAATCTTGTTGGAAAAGTTTAATGACATATACTACTATTTGATTCCTATCTCTATTAGGTATACTGAATTGGACAAGTTTTTGTTTTGTTTTGTTTCTTTGTTTTTAAGGTACAGTCTGATATCTTTTGTTTTACCACCAATGACTAAATCAAAACTCCTTTGGAAATGTGGTTCCTGTCCAAATGGATTATGTTATCAACTGGTGTTTGATGGTCTGACTGATTGTCCATTTATCAGTCAGATAATCATTTAAGGAAATGATTATCATTTGCTTGTTGATTGTACAACTATTTTGACTTAAATCTTCTGTCATAAAACTTATTGTTAAATTAATAATACATAAAATGATAACATATTTTGTAATAAACTCTAATTTTCAAAACAGCTTAATTATCTTAAAAATTAATTTTCTAATCTTTAGAAATCTTTTGTTTACATCTTTCAAATTCAAGAGGTAAGTGGGCAGGATGGCAAACTAATGGAGAAAAAATGCCAACTTTAGAGACTTAATTTAATGCCAGAGTGCCTATCCATCTAACCAAATAGTAAATATGCTATCAATTCCTTAGGAATGGTTGGCTGATTAAATTCAGTGTCACAAAATTTTAAGGTATCTTTCAACTGATATCTCTACCTAATACAAGAAAAAAAATGCAAAGTAAACATCCTTACAAAAAATAAAAAGGAACAGACAATATGAAAAGTGAAGAAAATTACTTAGACTAGGATTTTCAAAAAAATCTTATCAGTATAAATTAATTAAATTGAATTATAATATAGGTTAAAATGGGTTAATTATATCATCAATTTATTTTTTTCTATGTGGACATGATCTAAGAATTGTACTACAATACAACTCATCTATTCTCAATAAAGGCCTTCTACAACCAGCCATCCTTTTTTGTTTACCATCTATAGCAATTAACTCATTTTAGGAATTAAATTTGGCAGGCTGCCTTTTTAAAACACAAATATATTTTCATGCATTAGTGTCAAAGGTAGATTCTGCTATCTTTTATAGAAATATAGCAGTACTATAATTCTTTCTGATTGCTACAATGTGCATTAGGAGAAACTTGAATTCAATAGACATGTGTTTCTGGATATCAAATCTCACCAGAAACAGGGAAGTGTTCAAGTGTTTCCAGCAAGTTCTCTTCATAATAGACCATCTTTCCTGGCTTTCTGAAATCCTCACTGACTGCTTTCTTGGTGTTATGTATCAATTCCGGGGGCCCAGTCTTCCCATTACCTTTCTCTCCCTGTCTTCACTTCTCCAAGTGTCAGGTGCCAAGTAGAACCACAGCCTGAGATTCAACTACCAGTAGCTACCAGTTGCTGAAGGCAACTTCTTCACCTCTACTTTTCTTCTTCCTCAAACCGACAATAACAGAAAGTATGGGCCCATGTCAAATCCACTGTTTTCTCTTTAAGCCTCTATTTGGGATGCTATGTCCTCTCTTAGTTGGAACAACCAGGTGTTAAAATTACTTCAAAAACAAAAGAATATAAGGACATCATGGCCCATAATAGAAGTTCCAATGCTGCAGTACAACTATCCCAATTGTTCCATGTGATGGACCACAGGTCTCTGTGTAGACTTGGAATTATTGCAAGGAATTACCCAGTCAATATGTGAGTAAAAAATATTATATATTGCTTATTAGGGCATAAGAAAGCTATTTCAACATCAGAAATGTGAAAGTATTCATCAGTAGGACACTGATAAAATGTAAACAGTTTTTATTACCAAGCACAATGTGCCTTTGACACCCTCGAAATATACCACACCCTCAAGTGCTGCCACCACACTGCTGCCAACCTAGTCTATCTCTTCTCCTCTTCTTGACCCTTATCTATTTCTATCCAGTCCTTGAATTCTATGATAATTCATCTGTAAGCATCACTTCATTCCTCATTCCTCATTTCCCAAGGCTTAAAAACAGAGTAAATCTCAGAAACAGGGTAAGTCTCCAGAATAATGGTGTTTATTATGAATATTTTGGTAATATTTTAAAGTCCATTTAGGAAGCTTCAAAGATTAATTTTCATCTCAGAAAATGAATCACAATGGTTATATTAAAATGTAATACAACTTTTCTCTAGTTTTTTGGACATATGGAAAATACTTTACATTTTTAATATTTTTGTCTGCTAATTCTGTTTTTGATGTCATTTCTGTCATTTAGACTTTTCTCATTATGAGTTATATTCTACTGTTCTTTGCATCCCTAGTAATTTTGATGTGGTTGCCTAATATTATGAATTTTACCTTATTGGGTGTTGGTATATGTTGTATTTCTATAAATATCCTTGAGCTCTCTTCTGGGATGTAGTTAAAGTACTTGGAAACTGTTTCCTATTTTGTTGTCTTGCTATTAAACTTTGTTAGGCAAGACCAGAGAATTGTTTATTCTATGGTTAATTTTTTCCTACTACTGTTGCAAACACCTGAGTACTATACTTAATGCTCCATGAACTGAGAGTTTTGCAACTTGGGAACAAAAAATATTCCCTGCTTTACATGTGTGGGCCCCTCTAACCCTTTTAGGTGGTGCTTCACCCAGTCTTTAGACTTTTCTCTTATGAATGCAACAGATCAATATTGAGCTGAAGCCTAGAAGTCCATCTGAAGATCTCTGGATCTTTCTTTCTGTGTAACTCTGTCCTCTCTGACGTTCGGTACTATATACCCTAACTACCTCCTGAGACTGTCTGCTTTGTCTCCCAAACTCAGCGAGACCACTGGGTTCTTGTAGAGTTCCTCCTCCCTGAGCTTTCATATAGAAACTAAACTGAGTCTCCACTCAGTCTGGTGGAACAAATGTACAAATGTGGGGCTAAACACTTGTTTCTCATCTCTATGAAATCACTGCTCTCCACTGACCAATATAATTTCTTATATTTTGTCTTTTTTTTTTACTTATTTCAGGTGGGTGGAAAAATCCAATCCCTGTTAATACATGGTGGTTAGAAATAGAAGGGCTTTTAAAATTGTATTTTCATAACACCTTAAAAAACAAAAGATGAATATAAATTTAAAAATTTAAGGGCACAGAGCCTGTAACTTTTAGTTTGCCTAAATAAGATAAACATACATTTATTGTTTATTGTATCCCAGGAGCTATGTGATATGAGTACATAAGTGTTTATACAATGAAGAACATAAGATCACTGTTTCTAGAAAACAGTTATTTCATCTTATGTAAGAAGTTTATTGGTTCATTATTTTTTCTAAATAACAATAGCTATTCAGGAAGCTAATATCTCACTCTCTTCTATATTTTAGATGACAAATGAGCTCCACATGCTTAAAATCAATCAAGTGATCACTTGTTCAACAGGTACTTCCCACTTGCCAGACTATGAATGCTCAGGGTTATTTACCTAGAGTTTTAGCAGAAATTACAAATTGCTTTTCCTAATAGTTTCCTATCACAATTTCCTGTAATTGTCCTTCCTCCCCTGCTTCTTGGCTACATTCATATAAAGAAAGCTAGGTAAAGTAAATACAAATTACAACTTTCTCTTGTTGTGAAAGGAAGTTTCAGGTGGTTCCTGCTCAATTTTTTTACACCACTTGAGGCAAACAGATAATCCCAAATAAATGAAAACGTAGTAGACATAATTTATATTAGCACTGGAATTTGATGTTGTAGCTATGTGAACATTATTCAAGATCTTATATGTCTCATTTGAGTTATGTGGTTTTAATCTCGTTTAGCAAAGCTATTTAGTCAATGAAGAAAGGAAATCTGTACACATTAAAGAAATGATCTGGTGCTGATGTGAGTTTTCAAAAAAATTAAGCATTTTTAAAGAGATATCTGGGCTTTCCTTTTAGTGTAATAATTTTATTCTAATTCTAGACTTCCCAGAATTAACTTTCCTTAGTATGATTTTTTCTTAAGGAACAGCTGAAGAATGTGCCAAATGAGGAAAGATGTTTAATCTGGGGGAATTTGGACTAGCCTCAATTCCCATAACAAGAGAGATCTGTTTTTCTATATGTGGTGAGCTCTGGATAAAACTCTTTTCAAGGCTTTTTAAAGTTTGCAAATATTAATAAGAGCCCTCAAAAAAGCAAAAAATTTCTGAGGTGCCAATGTTTGCCATATAACTATTCTGTCAATATTACTCTCCCCACCACCACTTACCTGCATTCGATATTATCATCTAATACAGAGATAAGGAAGATACAAGTGACCATCTAGCTTCCCTAATAGGTGCTGGAAACCTCTTTTGTAAAAGACATGGGGAGACCATGGATGATCTCCAAGAATGTAAGTGAAAAAATATCTCTGCAAGTATATACTTGCACTTTAGAAGGGAGCTTATACCTTTTTTCCAGCTCTCTCAGAACCTTACACACCACCATGAAAGATATATTTGAGACCTACTTTAATATACAAGGATAACAGTATATAAAACTAGAATCAAAAAGTGCCAATCAATGATATATCCTGAAGAAGACAACACAAATATTTTAAAGACAGATAAAACTTCACATGGGGAGGAAGTTGGGGAGTGGGGAATTAAGATATTCTATGGATAAAGAAATCTCCAATAAAGAAGACTTTATATTTTTGAAAGCCAAGGAAGAGATTAAACAATTTTAAGATCTCTTTCTGTTCTATCATTATACTTGAATAAGCAGATTCAATTTTAATATCTTTATTAAAGAAAGATCTCTGGATCTTTCTTTCTGTATAACTCTGTCCTTTAATGTCTTTAAAGCTGAGCATTAACTATATATTTTTTATATATTAATCCTTTGAAAGATATGAAAAGTGTACCATGTGATAAATTTTAAATCACTTATAAAGTAATGAGGATTTGATGTAACTTCCAAAAATATCAAATCTCTGGTCACCATTCCCAGAAAATTACAATTGAATGAGTTAGGTAGGGCATTCAACAAGAAAATATCTGATTTCTGATGATATGATCATGTGTTGGGTAGGACTTTGATAAGAAAGAGATGAATGGCAATTTAGACTAACTTGTCTTTATAAAAATGTACAATAATGAGCATTAAATATGTGAATCAAAGAGTACTATTTATTGGATTCTGTGAATAAAGTGGCACCAATTACCTGTCATTCTCAGGACCCATAGTTCTCATCCTTCATGGGTTTTCTTCTGTTTGGATGGAAGTGACTGAAGATTAACTTCTTAATGGCTCCTGGGGGATCATGACTCAGCTGCCAGGACTTCTCGTTCCTTTAGAGTGATTCAGAGGAGTTGATCACGATGTCATCTGGGCAGATGGTTGTAGTCACCAACAGCTGTAGTTCCTCTCTTGAACCAAACTCAGACCCCTCCCAGATACTTGTCATTAGAAGCAATCATGAATTCTTAGCTTTTTCACATTAAGGCTTATTTTTATTACTAAAAATACTCTCCTTAATAGGAGTGAAAACACTGATCATTATTTGTCATGTTTATTGTACTTACAGATAAAAATTTTAGCTAATATTTGAAACTATAACATTTTTCTAATCAGGAAGTTTTCTAATTCATCATAAATCTGAAACCAAAAGGTTCTAGAAATCCAGTCTCAGGTATTATGAGTGTAGATTTTGCCCCCTTTTTCCCCTAAATATAATAAAGTAACATTTTTGTGAGAAATTCCCATACCTGGGTGAACATTTTGCTCTCCTTTTGCCATACCACAAGTTGAGATCATCAGAAGCAGAAAGTTGAGAAGTCTCCAATGTATTTGCCTAGGCAGAGATAAAATCTGATGGAAACAGGCCTTCAGGAGAAATGAAGAAACTGACTTGATCTTTTTAGCTATTAATCCTTAAAAATTTTTAAAAAGGTAATATCAACCTGAATTCCAGAACCTGTTAGGAAAGTCTCGTCTTTCCATGTATTTGCAAAGCACATGTACCTCCCACAAGATATCCCATTCATTATGAATTAATAGATTGATTTTAACTAACAAATTAATTCATTTACCAAGAGTTACATAGACAGGTAGGTAGATACACAATTAAAGGAGCAACTCTTCAGGAAACAGATGTTTTGGTCCTGAAATACCATTTGCTTATCTCACTCAATAACAGGTACCTAGAAGAGCAAATACAAAAAGCAGGTAAAATAGCCAAAAGTAGCCACAGGTTTCTCAATCTCTCTATATCATTCTCATTTTTAATATGTATGGTAATTATAATAGAGAAATACACATTTAATATATTATTCTTTTTTTTTCCTCTCATGCCAAAAATTCATTGTATTATCTTGCATTCGTTTTTTATTCCATTTCCTTTCATTTGGAGCTACTAGTTTTGTAGTTGTGCAGAATTTTATTCTTGAAAACCTCCGTTTGGTTCAGATATGTAATGCTAACTTTTATTTGTTTTTTTTCCCCTCTTAAGGAAATGACGATAACATACCATAAAGAGCTTTGCTTTTAAACAAATTTAGTTAGTATGGAAATCAGTAGTTTTGATGAAGAAAGGTGAATTCATTCAAAGAAAACAATGTAATCTTTTTCTGAAAAAAAAAAAAAAAAACTTACAAATTTAACTATAAAGTCCAGACAAAATAATTCCATTCATTTTTAGAGAGTTTTAGTAGTTATGGACAACTATACATAGAACAGGCATATTAAAATACTATTCATTACTATAAAAAGAAACATTGGCATTATTTCCTTTATTATGTGTTTCTTTTTTATTTCAATGTGTTCGTTGTATTCTTAGTAGTGGAGATCTATAGTATATCACATTCTCTTCAGATTTCAATTGCAAATTTTAAGAAATGTGTTTACATGTTTACATTTGCCCTGTTCTTAATTTTCTAATGATCTCTTCTCCCCCTTCCCCCTTATTGCCTCTCAGTTTCACTTCTCCACTTCCAGGACTCACATTCCTCTCTTAATTGGCAATAAATATTAATATTTCCTGTTATTTGGTAGGAGAAAATTATTTTTACCTATCAAAAACATAAACACCAAAAATGATTTTGTTTTAATTAAATTTCTTAACTTTGGCTCAAAACATTACATAAAAATTTGTTTTAATTAATTTTCTTTAATTTATTTTTGTTTTAATTAAGTTTAAATATGTTTCTTAACTTTTGCTCAAATATTAAATACACATTTCCTAGTTATGGTTTAATGAAATGTTAATTTCTAGAGATTGTAAGTAATCTGAAATTTACTTTAGGTGACAAAAAGGAAAATATTTGTGAGAATAGCGTGTCTTTTGAAGCTTTGCAGTTGCCCTTTCCTTGAATGGTCACATTCCTATGTCTGAGTTGAAACATTGCCAATATGTAAATGTAAGACTCTGGGGTGAAAAAATCAATTTCCTGAGCTTCAGTTTTTGTATTTAAAAAATCTGGATATTTCAGATACTTATTTCTATGATTGTTTTTAGCTCTAGCAGTGTATAAATGTGTGACCTCATCTCCATTTTAGCTTTAAAATTATTTAAATAAATAGTTTGCATATGCTATATGCTATTGTGTTGTAACATAAAAATATATACTCATTTTGCCTGGTATTGCTATTTCCTCTCCAAGGGATTTTCTTTTAATACTATGAATAACAAAAATATTAATTCTATACAGTGAACAGTTTTATTCTTGGAAGAGACTTCCCTCCTTTAAAAAACTATGTACAATTACTTTTGTACTTAAAAGAGTGAAACAATTATTTTTCTTTTTCTTTTTTCTTTTTTTTGAAACAGGGTCTCCCTCTGTCACCCAGGCTGGAGCGCAGTGGCACGATCACGGCTCACTGCAACCTCCGCCTCCCGGGTTCAAGCGATTCTCCTGCCTCAGCCTCCGAGGAGCTGTGATTACAGGCGCACACCACAACCGGCTTATTTTTGTGTTTTTAGAAGAGTCAGGGTTTCGCCATGTTGGCCAGGCTGGTCTTAAACTCCTGACCTGAGGTGATCCGCCCGCCTTGGCCTCCCAAAGTGCTGGTTTTATAGATGTGAGTCACTGCACCTGGCCAAGAGAAACAATTATTTTTTCTTATCAGTGAGATTTTCACAATCTAAAATGTAGAAAGAGTTGTGATTTGATTCATGAAGTAAGGTTAAGAAATTTTTCATCAAGTAGTTCTCCAGAAAAGTATGACTTCCTGTAAAAAGAGCCAAATCCAAAAAGAAATTTCCCTTTAGCGAGTCTTTTTTTTTTTTTTTCCAGATGAAGTCTTGCTCTGTTGCCCAGGCTGGAGCGCAGTGGCACAATCTCAGCTCACTGAAACCTTCGCCCCCTGGGCTCAAGCTAGCCAGTCTTTTAGTAAACATTTAGTCAACAAATCTGCAATTATAACGGAGGTTTGATTTTTGTTGTTTTTGTTTGTTTTTAAGTCACTCTGTGTTTGTAATATCAATTTACTTTTCAAGTTTAGAATGTTTTGCTTCATTGTTTCCCATATTTTATTTTAATCTGTGTAAATATTATACACTTTAAAATTATAAGTGTAATTTAAGTGTAAATATTTTACACTTTAAAATTATAATCCCAAAATTTCACTCTTATGGTAAAAAATTAAGCATTGCTTTAATGTCAGGTCAGTTTTAATGATAAGAAATGGGGATTTGGCATGGGCTTATATTGTTGATATCCTCTCATCCCCTAAGCATCCTTCAATCAAAAAACATTTTTAAGTTGGTTAATAGCTCTTTTGTGAAAGCAAAAACAGCAAAACAACTGTGAGGTTATATTTGGCTGCTGATAGGAAACCACCACAGCACAGGTAGCATAAATAATTAGCTTAAATTTATTAGCCTGCATTAGAGGTACAAAATACAGAGGTAAGCTGCTTCAAGACTGGTTCCTTCAACAAGGAACCAGGTTTTTCCTATATTTTTATTTCCATCATACACAGCAGATAAATTTTATTTTTAGTTTGTCTGCCTCAATGTTACAAGATTGCAGCTTCAGTAACAAGTGTCACTTACAGACAGGACAAATAGAAGGAGGAGATACCTTGTGGTTCTTCCCATATAGCTGCATTCACAGCAAGGAGAATTTTCAAAATCACCCCATCCCCAACCATGCAGCTACATCCCCTCTCAACTTGTTAGCCAGAGTTCATATAGAGATATCTAAACCAAACACTATAAAGTTAATGGAATCACCATGATTAATGTGGGTTAATGGTGATTTATTCTTTAGGTGGGTGTAGGCTAACCTTCTCTGAGAGCTGGATTTATGAACATATTAAAGAGTCTTCTCACTCTCTAATGTAGCAGAGAATGTTTCATGAGCAAACAAACCAGATGACTAAACTTCTTTTAAGTAGAAGAGAAACTATGAAAATGAATTCATAATCTCATTGACCTAAAGTATTTTCTGTTACCAAACCATCTTTTTCTCCATGAACACCAGTTTTTTACTTGGTTGATCTTAAATTATGCATCTATTTTTGTGTACAGCATTTCAAATTCGTATCATGTGGATTATTCCCAAATTATCTTCTAGTCATTATCACTGCCAGTTTAACTTAGTGTATATTAAATTCGGTAGATGGATGTGCCACCATATCTAATAACTTTAATTATGTTGGAAATCTACATTGTTTAAAATGTAATTTTATTTTCTCTAGTAAAATAAATATGAACGTGCACATAGCCATTTTAATATTTTTAATTCCCAAGTGTGATATTACTAATTTGAAGTATTATCTACATTTCTAAACATTGAAAGAACACATGTAGAAAAAATGATTAGTTGATGATTAAGTAATAAACCATTTAAACCATTTATATATTTCCTCTTACCAGCACCTGTCAAAGTCTTGCTTCTTTTGTTCTTTATCTCTGTCCAGTTAACAAAATCCAAATATAATCATTCAAATATTAAATTCCTGTATCTGGAGGGGAGAAATGCTGAATTTTTAAGGCAGCAGAAGTTACTATTAATTTATAGTTGGGATTCCAGCAGCCCAGATTTTTTTTTTTTTTTTTTTGAGACTAAGTCTCACCCTGTCACCCAGGCTGGAGTGCAGTGGCACAATCTCAGCTCACTGCAGCCTCCATCTCCCGGGTTCAAGCAATTCTCCTGCCTCAGCCTCCTGAGTACCTGGGTTTACAGGCACACGCCACCACGCCCAGCTAATTCTTGTATTTTTAGTAGAGAGAGGTTTCACCATGTTGGTCAGGCTTGTCTCAAACTCCTGACTTCGTGACCAGCCACTTTGGCCTCCCAAAGTGCTGGGATTACAGGCATGAGCCGCAGCGTCCAGCCCCAGAAATCTTTTAATGCTAAATTATTAATGCTCCATTTTATTTTACCTAGAGAGAACATCAAACCTTCACATTTTTAAAAGTCTACTGCTTCTTGTCATTCTGAAAGACAATCTCAATCTCTTTCTTGTACACAAAATTTAATCACAGCAAGAAATTTTTCGTCTTCCTATCTGCTCTTCAGCAACTTTCTCATCTCTCTCTCTGTTTCTGTTTCTTTGTTTCCCCTGGCAAAACACACACACACACACACAAACACACATTCATTACACACACTTTAAAAATGTATTTGTATCCCCCACCAAGAAAACCTATCATTTTAATGGGAAATACATCTTTTATTCAGCCCACAGTTAAACTCTTTTCACCTGTGCCTGGGTTCGCATCTGCTATTTATTTTACTTTTCTTACAGCTTTTGACTCTCCCTTTTTAACCATATACAACTATAACCTTCATAAAATTTTTCTCTTCAAATTCTGTCTGTTACTTTTCAGCACAGATTTATAAAATAGCATCCTAAATTTCTGTTTTCATAGCCTCTGTTCCTGTTCCTACCCCATCTCACTTGCTGCTGCCCCCTCACGCTAAAATATTTTAGAAGGTTACTTGTGATGCCATTGTCATTAAATCCCATGCATGTGTTTACCCCTTGCCCTCTGGAACACTCTGTGCGTTAGACATTGTTGACTCATGACAATTTCTGGCAATAATCACTTCCCCTAGTGTTTGTGTAACTGCGGCTTCCCAAGTTTTCTCCTGCTTTGCTGGCCATTTCCTCTCAGTTTTCTCATACTTGTTTTTCTCCTGGTTGTTCAGAGTTCACTTCTAGGATATTCCTTCCCAATCTTCACAGTCACCTCATAGTCACTATGAGGATTACATGAGTTAATATTTGTAAAAGCGTTCAGGAGAGTGCTTGCTTCACATCAAATACTATATATACTTGTTAAATAAATAGATCTCATTCACCCCACGAAACAATGATCGTTTGTCTCCTGATTCTCAAGTTTTTGTCTCCAGCAGAGACCTCTATTCTGAGCTCCATAGCTACATATGGGGCTTTTTATTTCATAGTTCCACTGGAGGTTTCACAAATCCTTCAAACTCAAACTGCCTCACCTTGAATTAATCACCTTCCTAGGGCTACGTTCTTTTTTATTTTAGGCTCCCAAGTCAGTGCCAGGAACCATCAATTGACTCCTTTGCTAAAGTCAGATGCTCACTGTAGGTGGCCTTGATTCCTCTCTCTTCCTCACTTGCCTTATCATTTTAATCATAAAAGTCTCTTGAATTTACTTTTGAATTTTCTCAAAAATTAGACCACTATTTCCAATATTGTGTTACAAATCATAGATAATTCTTATCCCCAAACTTCTGGCTTTCTGATATTCCAGAATATATTTCAAATTGCTCTGTGAAAACTTTCAAGTATACATGTTAGGATAACTTTTTAGTTTTATGTCTTACAGTTTTTGAGTGTGTGTGGTAAGTATTTGTGATGTTATGAAATATGGAGAAGATATATGAAAATGTGTCTGAATATTTTTACATAATATATTGCTTGTGGTCACTTGTGCTTCAGAATCTGAAGCATCTTGAATGATCTGTTATTATTTAATCCTATCTCTTAAGTTGCCTCTTTAATTAAAGGTTTATTATTTTCTCTTTTTTTTCTTTTTTCTTTTTTTTTTTTTTTTTGAGATGGAGTCTCACTCTGTCACCCAGGCTGGAGTGCAGTGACACAATCTCAGCTCACTACAACCTCCACCTCCTGGGATCAAATTATTCTCCTGCCTCAGCCTCCCAAGTAGCTGAGACTACAGGTGCACATCACCACACCAGGCTAGTTTTCGTATTTTTAGTAGAGATGGGGTTTCACAACATTGGGCAAGCTGGTCTCGGAACTGCTAACCTCAAGTGATCTGCCCGCTTTGGCCTCCCAAAGCGTTGGGATTACAAGCGTGAGCCACCCCTCCTGGCTGGTTTATTATTTTCTTTTAAGAAAATGTATTACATAAAAGAAGTCATCTCTTTATATGACTTACATCTATAAAATTTCTCACAGATTTTGCTCATTCTTTGTCCTAATTTATCGAGCTTTCTTTCCAAGTTTTCAGAAGTTTTTGATATTTCACTTTACCAAGGATCTATCTTCAAAATACTATTTCCTTCCAGTTCACAGCTGTCATATTATTAACAGCATTAATCCCCCTATACTGAATATGCAGTGGGGCTTCTGTGATTTTGATCATAGTATGATATGATTTATTGACACACTATGTTTTTTCCATCTTATTTTGCAATTTTTTGCAGCAAGGTAAGGATCTTACTCTTTCTGTTTAGGATCAAGCTCAAATAGTTAAGGGTTATAAATGAGGATGACGTGGCCGGGGCGCGGTGACTCACGCCTGTAATCCTAGCACTTTGGGAGGCCAAGGCAGGTGGATTGCCTGAGCTCAGGAGTTTCAGACCAGCCTGGGCCACATGGTGAAACCCCGTCTATACTAAAATACGACAACAAAAAAAATTAGCCAGGCGTGGTGGTGGGCGCCTGTAGTCCCAGCTTGAGGCTTGAGGCAGGAGAACTGCTTGAACCCGGGAGGCGGAAGTTGCAGTGAGCCGAGATCGAGCCACTGCACTCCAGCCTGGTGACAGAGCGAGGCTCCGTCTCAAAAAAAAAAAAAAAAAAGAAGATGACGTAATGGGTGGTGGTTGTGATGTTAAAGATGTCAGGAATTCTCTGAATAAGCATGTTGAATACAAAACATGTTTATTCAGTTTGAGGATAAACTAGACACTGCTTTCACATTAACAATCCCTCCTCTCCTCCACCATTTCTTTTTTGTTGTTGTCTGATTTGGAATAAGTCACATCTAGCCTTTTGAAAACAAATGGACCAATTTTTTTTCTAGCTCTCTATCTACTTTCATCAAACTTTATCTGAAGGGATTTTCTACTTCTAGAAAAAAATCACAAATGTTGGAGTTTCCAATCGTGGATTAAATTTTGCTGAGGAAAATGCACTAAGGTTACACACTATCTGCTGTATTTACACATTATCTTCACTCGTAAACACAAATAGGCTTAATAGCCTCATTTAACAAATGGAAAACTGAATCTTATAGATGGTTAGTGTGTTTTTCCATTAAAAAGTTGGTAAACTTCGATCTTTTTTTATGCCTTTCCTATGTCCATTCTATCCATCTCATTTTTTCACACTACCTTGTCCTACATATAAAATAACATCAATATATTTATTTGCTCCATCTCATTTTAATTCTTAAGTTATTTTGAAAGAAAAAAAGAGTGTACAAGGGCACACCTAGAACTTTATTATCACTGGTCCTTACTTTGCATTCTCACACTCTGTAAAATATTTCTCTAATGTACTCACAGACATTATACTGTCCACAGTAGCAGCCCCTTAATGTTTATTGAAATCCATATGAACAATTGATAAAGTTTGAAAGAACATACACATACACACACACACACACACACACTCTATTTAGGCAAAGGTACAAATAAATAAACACTTTCATATGCTCATAAGAAAAGTGTATGTTGATATTATATCTCTGAATGACAATTTTCAATATATATTAATATTATTCAAATGTTTAAATATTAGACCCAATAATTCTTCTCCTGTGAATTTACCATAAATAAGTAACTTTCAAAGTTTTGAAATATTAGACTACAAACACACTTTTGCATGAATACTTACAATTGCAAAAATAGATATTGCCCAAAAATATGAGAATGGTAACATAAATTTTTAAATATCCAAAAAATATTATGCAGCCATTAAATAAGGTTATGCAAGTCAGTTTGGAAAGTTATTAATTTTTTAATTTTACTTTAAGTTCTGGGGTACATGTGCAGAATATACAGGTTTGTAACATAGGTATACAAGTGCCATGGTGGTTTGCTGCACCCATCAACCCATCATCTACATTAGGTATTTCTCCTAATGCTATCCCTCCCCTAGTCCCACGAACCCCTGACAGGCCAGGGTGTGTGATGTTCCCCTCCTTGTGTCCACGTGTTCTCATTGTTCAACTCCCACTTATGAGAGAGAACATGCAGTGTTTGGTTTTCTGTTCCTGTGTTAGTTTGCTGAGAATGATGGTTTCCAGCTTCATCTATTTCCCTGCAAAGGACATGAACACATCCTTTTTTATGGCTGTATAGTATTCCATGGTGTATATGTGCCACATTTTCTTTATCCAGTCTATCATTGTCAGGCATTTGGGTTGGTTCCAAGTCTTTGCTACTGTGAATAGTGCTGCAATAAACATACTTGTGCATATGTCTTTATAGTAGAATGATTTATAATCCTTTGGGTGTATACCCAGTAATAGGATTGCTGAGTCAAATGGTATTTTTGGTTCTAGATACTTGAGGAATCACCACATTGTCTTCCACAGTGGTTGAATTAATTTACACTCCCACCAACAGTGCAAAAGCATTCCTATTACTCCACATCTTCTCCAGCATCTGTTGTTTCTTGGCTTTTTAATGATTGCTATTCTAATGGGTGTGAGATGGTATCTCACTGTGGATTTGATTTGCATTTCTCTAATGACCAGTGATAATGAGCTTTTATTCATATGTTTGTTGATTGCATAAATGTCTTCTTTTGAGAAGTGTCTGTTCATATCCTTTGTCCACTTTTTGATGGGGTTGTTTTTTTCTTGTAAATTTGTTTAAGTTCTTTGTAGATTCTGAATATTAGCCCTTTGTCAGATGGATAGATTGCAAAAATTTTCTCCCATTCTGTAGGTTGCCTGTTCACTCTGAAGATAGTTTCTTTTGCTGTGCAGAAACTCTTTAGTTTAATTAGATCCCATTTGTCAATTTTGGCTTTTGTTGCCATTGCTTTTGGTGTTTTAGTGATGAAGTCTTCGGCCATGCCTATGTCCTGAATGGTATTGCCTAGGTTTTATTCTAGGGTTTTATGGTTTTAGGACTTACATTTAAGTATTTAATGCATCTTGAGTTAATTTTTGTGTAAGGTATAAGGAAGGGGTCCAGTTCCTGTTTTCTGCATATGGCTAGCCAGTTTTCCCAACACGATTTATTAAATAGGGAATCCTTTCCCCATTGCTGGTTTTTGTCAGGTGTGTCAAAGATCAGATGGATGTAGATGTGTGGCGTTATCTCTGAGGCCTCTGTTCTGTTCCATTGGTCTTTATATCTGCTTTTGTACCAGTACCGTGCTGTTTTGGTTACTGTAGCCTTGTAGTATAGTTTGAAGTCAGGTAGCGTGATGCCTCCAGCTTTGTTCTTTTTGCTTAGGATTGTCTTGGCTATATAGACTGTTTTTTGGTTCCATATGAAATTTAAAGTAGTTTGCTTTTTCTAATATGTGAAGAAAGTAAATGGTAGCTTGATGGGGATAGCATTGAATCTATAAATTACTTAGGACAGTATGGCTATTTTCATGATATTGATTTTTCTTATCCATGAGCATGAACTGTTTTTCCATTTGTTTGTGTCCTCTCTTATTTCCTTGAGCAGTGGTTTGTAGATCTCCTTGAAGAGGTCCTTCACATCTCTTGTGAGTTGTATTCCTAGGTCTTTTATTCTCTTTGTAGCAACTGTGAATGGGAGTTCACTCATGATTTGGCTGTCTGTTTGTCTGTTATTGGTGTACAAGAATGCTTGTGGTTTTTTCACATTGATTTTGTATCCTGAGACTTTGCTGAAGTTGCTTTTCAGCTTAAGGAGATTTTGGACTGAGATGATGGTGTTTTCTAAATATACAATCATGTCATCTGCAAACAGAGAAAATTTGACTTCCTCTTTTCCTATTTGAATACCCTTTATTTCTTTCTCTTACCTGATTGCCCTTGCCTGAACTTCCAATACTATGTTGAATAGGAGTGGTGAGAGAGGGCATCCTTGTCTTGTGTCAGTTTTCAAAGGGAATGTGTCTAGCTTTTGCCCATTCAGTATGATATTGGCAGTGAGTTTGTCATAAATAGCTCTTATTATTTTGAGATGCATTCTATCAATACCAAGTTTATTGAGAGTTTTTAGCATAAAGCCATGCTGAATTTTATCAAAGGCCTCTTCTGCATGTATTGAGATAATCATGTGGTTTTTGTCATTGATTCTGTTTATGTGATGGATTAAGTTTATTGATTTGCATATGTTGAACCAGCCTTGCATCCCAGGGATGAAGCCAACTTAATGGTGGGGGATAAGCTTTTTGATGTGCTGCTGGATTCAGTTTGCCAGTATTTTATTGAGGATTTTTGCATCGATATTCATCAGGGATATTGGCCTGAATTTTTCTTTTTGTGCATGTGTCTCTGCCAGGTTTTGGTATCAGGATGATGCTGGCCTCATAAAATGAGTTAGGGAGGAGTCCCTCTTTTTCTATTGTTTGGAATAGTTTCAGAAGGAATAGTACCAGCTACTCTTTGTACTTCTGGTAGAATTCGGCTGTGAATTTCTTTGGTCCTGGGCTTTTTTTGGTTGGTATTCTATTGATTACTGCCTCAATTTCAGGACTTGTTATTGGTCTATTCAGGCGTTTGACTTCTTCCTGGTTTAGTCTTGGGAGGTTGTATGTGTCCAGGAATTTATCCATTTCTTCTAGATTTTCTAGTTTATTTGCTTAGAGGTTTTTATAGTATTCTCTGATGGTAGTTTGTATTTCTGTGGGATCAGTTGTGATATCCACTTTATCATTTTGTATTGTGTCTATTTGATTCTTCTCTCTTTTCTTCTTCATTAGTCTGGTTAACGGTCTGTCTATTTTGTTAATCTTTTTAAAAAACCAGCTCCTGGATTCAGTGATTTTTTGAAGTTTTTCCTGTCTCTATCTCCCTCTTTTCTGCTCTGATCTTAGTTATTTCTTGTCTTCTGTTAGCTTTTCAATTTGTTTGCTCTAGCTTCTCTAGTTCTTTTAATTGCAATGTTTGGTTGTCAACTTTAGATCTTTCCCACTTTCTCCTGTCGGCATTTAGTGCTATAAATTTCCCTCTAAACACTGCTTTAGCTGTGTCCCAGAAATTTTGGTATGTTGTGTCTTTATTCTCATTGGTTTCAAATAACTTATTTATTTCTGCCTTGATTTTGTTATTTACCCAGTAGTCCTTCAGGAGCTGGTTGATCAGTTTCCATGTAGTTGTATGGTTTTGAGTGAGTTTCTTAATCCTGAGTTCTAATTTGATTGCACTGTGGTCTGAGAGACTGTTATAATTTCCGTTCTTTTGCATTTGCTGAGGAGTGTTTTGCTTCCAATTATGCGGTCAATTTTAGAATAAGTGTGATGTGGTGCTGAGAAGAATATATATTCTGTTGATTTGGGGTTCAGAGTTCTGTAGATGTCTATTAGGTCTGCTTGTTGCAGAGCTGAGTTCAGCTCCTGGATATCCTTTTTAACTTTCTGTCTCATTGATCTGTGTAATATTGACAGTGGGGTGTTAAAGTCTCCCACTATTATTGTGTGGGAGTCTAAATCTCTTCGTAGGTCTCTAATAACTTGCTTTATGAATCTGGGTGCTCCTGTATTTGGTGCATATGTATTTAGGATTGTTAGCTCTTCTTGTTGCATTGATTCCTTTACCATTATGTAATGCCCATCTTTGGCTCTTTCGATCTTTGTTGGTTTAAAGTCTGCTTTATCAGAGACTAGCATTGCAACCCCTGATTTTTTTTATTTTTTTATTTTTTTTTTTGCTTTCCATTTGCTTGGTCAATATTCCTCTATCCCTTTACTTTGAGTCAATGTGTGTTTTTGCACGTGACATGGGACTCCTGAATACAGCACACCAATGGGTTTTGACTCTATCTAATTTGCCAGTCTATGTCTTTTAACTGGGGCATTTAACCCATTTACATTTAAGGTTAATATTGCTATGTGTGAATTTGATCCTGTCATTATGATGCTAGCTGGTTATTTTGCCTGTTAGTTGATGCAGTTGCTTCATAGTGTTGACGGTCTTTACAATCTGTTATGTTTTTGCAGTGGCTGGTACCGATTGTTTCTTTCCATATTTAGTGCCTCCTTCAGGAGCTCTTGTAAGGCAAGCTTGGTGGTGACAAAATCTCTCAGCATTTGCTTGTCTGTAAAATATTTTATTTATACTTCACTTATGAAGCTTAGTTTTGCTTGATATGAAATTCTGGCTTGAAAATTATTTTCTTTAAGAATGTGGAATATTGGCCCCCACTCTCTTCTGGCTTGTAAAGTTTCTGCAGAGAGATCCACTGTTAATCTGATGGGCTTCCCTTTATGGGAAACCCAACATTTCTCTCTGGCTGCCCTTAACATTTTTTCCTTCATTTCAACCTTGTTGAATCTGATGATTATGTGTTTTTGGGTTGCTTTTCTTGAGGAGTACCTTTGTGGTGTTCTCTGTATTTCCTGAATTTGAATGTTGGCCTGTCTTGCTAGGTTGGGGAAGTTCTCCTGGATAATATCCTGAAGAGTGTTCTCCAACTTCTTTCCATTCTCCCTGTCACTTTCAAGTACACCAATCAAATGTGGGTTTGGTCTTTTCATTCAGTCTCATATTTCTTGGAGGCTTTCTTCATTCCTTTTCATTCTTTTTTTTCTCTAATCTTGTCTTCATGCTTTATTTCCTTAAGTTGATCTTCAATCTCTGATATCCTTTCTTCCACTAGATTGATTCAGCTATTGATACTTGTGTATGCTTCACGAAGTTCTCATGCTGGGTTTTTCAGCTCCATCAGGTCATTTATGTTCTTTCCTAAACTGGTTATTCTAGTTAGCAATTTCTCCATACTTTTTTCAAGGTTCTTAGCTTCCTTGCATTGGGTTAGAACATGCTCCCTTAGCTTGGAGGAGTTTGTTATTACCCACCTTCTGAAGCCACTTCTGTCAATTCATCAAACTCATTCTTCATCAAGTTTTGTTCCCTTGCTGGCAAGGAGTTGTGATCCTTTGGAGGAGAAGAGATGTTCTGGTTTTTGGAATTTCCAGCCTTTTTGTGCTGGTTTTTCCTCATCTTTCTGGATTTATGTACCTTTCGTCTTTGATGTTGGTGACGTTTGTGTGGGGTTTCTGTGTGGATGTCCTCTTTGTTGATGTTAATACTATTCCTTTCTGTTTGTTAGTTTTCCTTTTAACAGTCAGGTCCCTCCGCTGCAGGTCTGCTGGAGTTTGCTTGAGGTCCACTCCAGACCCTGTTTGCCTGGGTATCACCAGTGGAGGCTGTAGAACAGCTAAGATTACTGCTATTCCTTCCTCTGGAAGCCTCATCCCAGAGGGGAACCCACCATATGCCAGCTGGAGCTCTCCTGTATGAGGTGTCTGTTGACCTTTGCTGGGAGGTGTCTCCCAGTCAGGAGGCACGGGGGTCAGGAACCCACTTGAAGAGGCAGTCTGTCTCTTAGCAGAGCTCGAACACTGTGCTGGGATATCCGCTGCTCGCTCCATAGCTGGCAGACACGAATGTTTAAGTCTGCTGAAGCTGTGTCCACATCCACCCCTTCCCCAGGTGCTCTGTCCCAGGGAGATGGGAGTTTGATCTATAAGCCCCTGACTGGGGCTGCTGTTTTTCTTTCTGAGATGCCCTGCCCAGAGAGGAAGAATCTAGAGAGGCAGTCTGGCTACAGTGGGTTTGAGGAGCTGTGCTGGAACTTCCCTGGGGCTTTGTTTACACTGTGAGGGGAAAACCGGCTACTCAAGCCTCTGTAATGGCGGATGCCCCTCCCCTGACAAAGCTGGAGTATCCCAGGTCGACTTAAGGCTGCTGTGCTAGGAGCAAGAATTTCAAACCAGTGGATCTTAGCTTGCTGGGCTCCATGGGGCTGAGATCCACTCAGCTAGACCACTTGCCTCCCTGGCTTAAGCCCCCTTTCCAGGGGATGATGGTTCTGTCTCACTGGCATTCCAGACGCCACTGGGGTATGAAAAAAAAAACTCCCGCAGCTTGGTAGGTGACTGCCCAAAGGCTGTCCAATTTTTTTCTTGAAACCCAGGGCCTCAATGGCGTAAGCACGCGATGGAATCTCCTGGTCTGCGGGTTGCAAAGACCATGGGGAAAGCGTTGTATCTGGGCCAGAATGCACTGTTCTTCATGGCACAGCCCCTCACGGCTTCCCTTGGCTAGGGGAGGGAGTTCCCTGACCCCTTGTGCTTCCCAGGTGAGGCAACGCAGCACCCTGCTTCGGCTTGCCCTCCATGGGCTACACCCAATGTCTAACCAGTCCCAATGAGATGAGCTGGGTACCTCAGTTGGAAATGCAGAAATCACGCACCTTCTGCATTGATCTCACTGGAAGCTGCAGACCAGAGCTGTTTCTATTCAGCCATCTTGCCTGCAACTCAAAAGTTATCAATATTATCTCATTCAATGACAAAGGAGGTTACCAAACAATATATGTGCAATGATCATTCACATATGCTCATATAAATATAATCACACATATACACACACTTATACATATTAACATGCATAAGAAATCATATACAACCAGAGGTTGCTTCTGAATAGGCAGATTGATGGTTATTCTGTATTTTCTTTATTCTGCTTTATGTTTTATGATTTGGAAAAATACACATGTATTACTTTTCCAGTGTAAAAAGACAGTTTTAATATTTTAAATACTAAAAGAATAGAACAGTTAGTTAAATATGTAGCTAAAAATAAATAGAATCCTCCAATTTTGAAAAAAAAATTTTAAATAAAAGCAGTTGGTAAGAAATCTTCATTCTCTCAATCCTTTCTACCTTTGGAAGAAAGTATTTAAGTGTATTATAAAAGGTCATAGAAAAATTTTATTTAACTATAATGAATACAATTTTAATAATATCAAATAGAATGCTGTCTTTAGACATGTCAATGTATCACTTACATGAAAAATAAACTATTTTTGTAAATGGCATCAAACATAAATAAAATGGTCAATTTCTAGGTGACTGCATTGGTAAACCTTTTTTAATTTTTCCCATTGCAGAGATGAGGAAAAATAAAATTTTTGGTTGACATAGAACTTGTACGATTATCATGATCATATAAATCATATCAAAAGAGGAATATGCTATCGATATTTTTAAATAGAAAAATTGATATGAAAATTTATTTATAATCAAATGGTTGCAAAAAAACAGAAAAATTTCTGTGAATATTTTTCTGTTATTGACACTTGTAATAACTGTAAAAAGAAACGAATTATTACATCAATAAGGTGCTGATAAAATACATCACATTTTAATGATTCATTGTCGGACTGAATTCATTCAGACACAATAAACATTTTATATAATAAGACCTTGAAAGCACAATTTGGAATTCTTTGGTAGAATATAGAGTATATTAGAGACTCTACAGTCATGAGCTAAGCCAGAAACTAAAATATAAACAACTAAGTTTACTGCAGCAGCCTCTCTAGTACTGGCCCTCTGTAGAACTCTATACCACACACCTTTCTACAGACAGTAGTTAGCCTGAGTCTGTAAAGGTATTGACTCCTTGGCAAGTCAGTTGTGGCCAGATGCTGCTGTGACTCCATTACTGTCCATTTAATAGAAGTTTTGAGAATACATTTTATGAGTACAGAATATGGACAGGTTTTGTGAGAAACAAAGGTGGAAGAAAGGAAAAATGATTAGTTAAGTAATAATTGTCTTCCCTAATAAAGGATTAGTTTATACTCGAGGCCCATTACCCATTATATTCACTTTTATTCATACCATTTAAAATAATTTTAGCTTATATATTTGTTTTAAATTTCTCCAGTGACCTTTTACTTTCTGTAAAAAAAATACAAAATAAAACAATTTTTACCGAATTTTTAATTCATAAAAGATTTATTTCACAAATATCCATTGAGTTCCAGAGGGTACCAGAAAGAACAAACATGATTCCCATATTTAAAGAGCTTACATTTGAGAGAAAAGACAGAGTAAGCAAATAAATATATAATGTGTAACACAGGAAGAGGTACAGTGATTTAAAAAGCATAGGAAGGAAGAGAACGTAACCATCAAGTTATTTTACGCTCTGAAAGACACCACTTGAGTAGAGATTTTATATAGAAGCAATATTTCCATTCCATTCATGTGATTAAGTCAGGGGACGATGCCAAAAGTGAAGAGATAATGTTGACAATATGGGTAGGATTTACCAGGTTTTCTCTCTGCTGCCATTGGGAATGTCTTTCCAACTTTTTTCATATTCATGATAATAACTGATCATTTTCCTAAAATCTTGTGGTAAATATTACATATTTAGATTAGGGCCCTTAGAATGTTTAGTATGCGAATTTTATTGTGCGCAATTTTGAAAAAGATCTCCAATTTCAAAACAAGCCTTCTGGGTACTTTCATAGTTAGTCTGCACAACTAACTGAATCAGAAAACAAATATATTACTCAATTTCAGGTTACAAGAATTGACCTCCAGGGCAGTGCCTTCTGCTCTCTTACATGTGATTTGCAATTACAGTTGAGAAATAAGGGTAGAGAAGGAATTCGAAGGTGAGGATCTGTTTTCCCTGCCAAGTCTTTCCTTCTTATTGTGAGCAAAAAATACACTTTCTCATTGGAGAACACTTACAGAAAACAGTCACTTTCCCAGACCAGTACTTCACTCTTAAGGAACAACCAAAAACAAACGAATAAACAAACACCATAGTTTGGGCAAATTATCATAAAATGTACAACATAAGAAGTTGGCGATTGCTGTATTTTCAATAGAAATGTGATTGATATGACCAGTCCTGCCTAAAGGTTAGTAATGCCGCAAGAAACAGAGAATCAAAGTCTATAGCTATGTGGAAAGGAAAGAATTGAATTGCACATTAGAAAGTGCACTCTAGGGCTGATGTATCTTCAGCTCCAGCCTACTGATAGAAAGGCAGTGACCCCCACTTCCAAGACAAACTTGCAACCAAGTTAGAGACACTTTCTTGAAACACTAGGAATGTTCCTGCTCTGAGTTGTGTTTCCCCAAAATGTTGGATACCTAACCCCCAATGTGACTGCATTTGAAGGTAAGGTTTTAGGGGGTAATTAACATAAATGAGATAATAAATGTTCAATCCTAATTCAGTAGGATTGATGGCCTTAAAGAAGGCCTTAGAGAAAAGATATCTTTCTTTCTCTCCATGTGCACACAGGACAGGAAAGGCCATGTGAGGACATAGGGAGAAAGCAGCCACCATTGGCAAGCCAAGAGAGAGCCCTCACCAGGAACGATTGGACCAGCACCTTGATCTTGGATTTTCTAGCCTCCAGAACTGTGAGATACAAATTTCTGTTGTTTAAGCCACACAGTCTGTGATATTTTGTTACAGCAACCCTAATAGACTGAGAGAGCTCCTGAGAGCTTCACTCACAGAATCAATTGTATTCTTACCTGGTGAAGATCCATTCTAAGACTTATTGGCTGTTTGGAAGTGATAGCAAATAAAAGCCACCTTGAACTGGGTCTGATGCAGCATTCTTACCAAACTTCAAACCTGGACTAGTTCATCCTTATGCATTGAGGCTTTTTTATTCGTGTTCGTTTGTTTTTACCAGTTAACTATCAACATAAATTTCATTTATAATATTGTATGTTCAGTGTTCCAAAAAACTGGTCCTACCAACATAGTTTGGAATGACTCCATTATAAGATGGTGACTGCCTGTATCAAATCTTTACTGCCTTTTTCAAATTCTTACCATTTTTATAAAAAGGAGTCACACTACTCAATCTATACATCAGTGTTAAATATGATTTTTACTAATTTTTTTTTTTTTTTACCAACACTATCTTAAAAAATCTGACAGCATAGAGCAGTGATTAAAGGCATTTGCTTCAGGGTCAAATATAGTTACACTGCTGTTTTTTGGACAATTTGTTATTTTGAACCATTGTTTCTTACCTTTATAAAATGAGCATAAGATAATGTTCTTTTAAGGTGAGTATGAGATACAAATGAGAAAAGCAATAATAATAAAGATTCAACAATGGAAACTGCTATTTACATTATGATTGTTATAATTAGAAGGACAAACTGTAATTTAACGTTCCTATAGTAATAAAATGGCATCTACAGAGCAAATCTAAACAGACTTAATCTTCATATAACAATTCATCCCAGATAATTTGAATTGACCATAATAACATGTTTGAAAGGAGGCTGAAATAAAACAGGGTTTGCTCTTTTCAACTCTTTAGCCAAGACTTTTTTTAAAAAAAACTGGTATATAAATGCTTTGTATTTCCTTTCAAGTTTGAAGGGAAAATAAATATAATACTTAATAGATTTTCAAGTATCTCTTTAGACATTCTCTTGTTTAGGCTTGTACTAATCCATTCATTCAGGGTTTGACTGTTGGGTGAACTTCTTTGCCCTATTCCCAGCTGTGAGAGGCAATTCTCCAGGTTTCTAAGCTTTAGACCTACGCCCTTCTCTGATGAGGTTAATTAGGGTTTGGGCTGAAACCCAGATTCCTATATATGTGGATAGAGTGATGTAGAAGTACTTTATGATAATAAATATAAATGAAATTTAGATTTTAATTTAGAAATAGAAAACATTTAGGCAACTCACTGAATCAAAAATAAATATAGACAAATTTAATTAATATATTTATTTATTATATTTTCCTGGGTTGGGCTTTGGCCTCTATTTCATATATTTTGTTTATTTTTCAGGATGTTCTGGGATAATGTAGTCCAGGTTCTAGTTCTGCCTTTGTCACTTACTAGCCATCTAGTCATATAATGCTGAAAAATATATTATGTAGCTCTAAGATAAATTCAACGTACCTGCATAGCACTATTCAACATACTTGCACAGTATTATTGTCAATATGTAGTCTAACAGATAAGAAACCACTGTGAAAATAGTAAACCATTATAAAAAATGATGTTTTATAATGATACATCTTTGCACTTCTAATATTATTGCTTTAAATAAATGTGGTATATATTCAGCATACAGCCAAATTTACAAAATTTTATCTTTTTAATTTTATGTCATATATAAAGAACCTTAATGCCAAAATAATCTTTATAGTGATGACTCGACATCCCAAAAATGTGGGACCCAACAGGGACATTAATAAAGAGATAAAGCAGGCTCTGTGCCGACTTGTTAGAATTTGGTACGTGGCAAATGTGCAGTCACACGGCCTTAAACCTCCCCTGGGAAACTGCTCAAACATTTGCATTCCCACAATGTATTTATTCAGGAAATACTCTTTTCCTGAGAAAAATCTGGCTCTCAAACCTCTCCCTGAGATTATGCAAGTTCTCCATTGGGGAAATACAGTTGGAAATCTAGTAAAGAATGTTTATTAACAAAAATCCATTTGCAGATCCTAGTTATTCTCAATATTTTGTGGATTTACAATTGAGAATACTACTTGCAAAAAGTAAACTTCAAAAAAAGGAAATAGAAAGCTATCAGAATTCCTGTAGAGTTTGTTGTTCCCCTTCTCCTCCAACATAGTTTTATTCTAATGTTTTCTTTATTCATTTTCTTTGGTATTAGTGTGCTGTAAACTCACCCAAAATGAAAAACAATCAAAATAGAATAAAACAAAATGAAAGCACATCAGTTAAAGATAAAACAAAACAAAAAACAGGCTGCCAGGTTTTAGTGGACAGAAGGGTAGGCCCCCTGGAGATCAGCCAAATTGAGTGGATGGAAGTAATCAACAACAAGAGGACAACAACATTAGCCACTGCTGAGCAGAAAATTAGAAAGATTCTTCAATTTATTTTTTTTTCTTTTCTGGTT
This sequence comes from Homo sapiens, assembly GCF_000001405.40. NCBI lineage: Eukaryota > Metazoa > Chordata > Mammalia > Primates > Hominidae > Homo > Homo sapiens. The sequence continues at coordinate 187,526,870 of NC_000002.12, read as the reverse complement.
GTCAGGTTTTGTCTCTCCTGTCTTCCACTGGTACACCATAAATCAGCAGCTAAAATGAAATTTCCTTCTTTTAGACATGGCAAAGTACTCATTGAGCTTAGAGATTAATAGTAAAACTTTAAAAAAGAAAAAAATTCAACAATATGTAATAAAGAGAAAAATCTGAACTAGAAACTTTAGATAAGTACCATGCTTTTAGTATACATGTTAGCACCATAAATTTTTTTCTAGATTCACTTAAAGATGATAAAATAATGTGTATACCCCAAAACTAATGATAAAACAGATCAATAACTGCCTGCTAGTTGTATCATGCTTTTCCCAAAATAATGAACTGGAAATTTAATGTTATGATTTAATCCTATTACTCTCTTTAATTCTATGTGAGCTTCTTGCTCTTTTTTTTCATCCCATAAATTTCATTTTTGTCAATATCTGTTGCTATTCCTTTCGAGGTTTTTTCTTCTGGCCACCAAAGCCAAATTGCCAAAATATTTTAGCTCCAATGGATCTGAATCTTTAGAACATGTCTTTTACATTGAGACCTGTACTGCTTCACCTTACCACTTGTAGTCTTTCAAATCTAAGCTCCCATGCTTAACCAAATTCAAACAAAAATGTCTCTCGGTTTGATCCTAAACTCTTTCCAAATCAGTGCTATTTTTCAGTTATATTTTTAGACCTTCAAAAAGTCTGAGATGACATTCTCAATGCAGAATAAGATCTATAAATACTGAGCTTCTGTTTCTACAGTGTACCCAAGAGGTTTTCAAGGATTGCTTATAAAAATTATAATAGCTAACATTATCAAGCTAGTCACTATTCTAATTCTTTTATATTTAATCCTCATAATACTATGTAGTAGGTTCTAGTAAAATACTCATTTTATAGATAAGTAAATAGAGACAAATAGGAAGTAAATATAGTATCAAATTCATATAATTAGTAAGTTACGGAACTGATATTTGAAGCTTTATAGTCTGTTTTAGTTGGCTAGGGCTGCCATAACAAAGTGCTAAAAATGAATAGTTTGTTATTTCCTCATGGTCCTGGAGGCTATAAGTTTGAGATCAAGGTGATCAGTAAGATTGGTTTCTTCTGAGCCTTCTGTCCTTGATTTATAGATGTTCAGTCTTTCCTCTATGTGTCCTAATCTCCTGTTTTTATAAGGATACCAGTCATATTGGATTAGGACTCAACAACAATGACATCATTTATTCTTAGTAACCTCTTTAGAGGCCTTGTTTTCAAATACAGTTGAATTCTGAAGTACTGGGAGTTAAAACTTTAACATATAAATTTGAAAGGGGACACAATTCAGCCCCTAAAACAGTCTTACTACAAACCCCCTCTTCTTAACCACTAAACGAACTTAAAAAAGAAAGGAAGAGCTGAGAAAGAGAGAGGGAAAGAGGGAGGAAGGAGAAAAAAAGGAAGGGAGGAAGGGAGAAAGAAAGGAGCTACTTGCCAAGCAAACCAGAATAATTATGAAGACAACTGGAGGCAGAATGCTTTCCAGATGATGCTGGAGACAAAGTAATTATTGGGAAGTCAGCTTTGTATGGTGAAGTGTCCATGAATTCTGGACTCACAGAGTTATGAGTGCAAATATTACTCTGTTTTATGCTACTTGGAAGGTTATATTCCCTTTATGAACCTCAGTTTTCTTAAGATGCACATCATACTTCTTATAGGTTAGGGCTATTAGGGGGATTATAGTTCATATGAAGTTCATAGAAGAGTTCATAAAAAGTGAAAGTCTCAAAGGTCTTCCTTTTTTCTTTCCTTTCCTTTCTTGTGTCCTCTCTTAGTAGATTCAATACAGAACATTGACCTCTCTTTCACATATTCTCTCATAAATATTAATATTATAAAGAAAGAGTAAAATAGCAAATTATGCATTTCTTCTACCTAATTATCTCTTTTCTAAGCCCACCTTTCTTTAGTCATCTTTCCCACAGACTCACATTTCTCTTTTGCTGGAATTTCAGCAATCATTCTTATCTGTTTTCTTTGACTTGAAAAATACCTATCATTTCAGCAAAATTTAAAAAATGTTAAATCTATGTCATTTGTTTCATTTTCATTACAGATTCTTTAAAACAATTTTAATTGAAGTATTTCATACCTTTAAAAAATGAAAAGCAATACAAGACACAATTTTAAAAATATTTATGGCACCATTTCACAATACTTGTTTCTGATCTCTTTATTTTTTGGTGGAATTGGTAGTAATAAAACACCATGCATATATCCAAAGATCTGTACTGCCGCCTAATTTTAACTCACAAAGTTTATTCTAATTTATTAATTATTCATCAAGTATTACTTGTATCAGTCATTGTTTGGGGTATTGAACACAGAGTTGTGAATCCTATGTAAAGTGCCTGTGCTAAGAATAGAAAACATTTTAGTGGTGGAGACAGCACACATAAATATATAAATGCACATAAATATATAAATGGTGATGAGTGTCATTCAAAAAAGAAAGGAAGACATTACTGGTATGAAAGGAAAATGGTGCAGCTACTTTGGAAAGCAGTCTGGAAATTCCTCAAATGGTTAAACATAGAATTGCCATGTGATTCAAGAATTTTACCCCGAGTTATATACCCAAGAGAAATGCAAACCTATGTTCACACCAAAACTTGTATACAAATGTTCATAGCAGCATTATTCATAATAAGCAAAAAGTAGAAACAGCAAAAATTTTCATTAACTGATGAATGAATAAATAAATTTTGGTATATTTATACTATAAAATATTTTCAGCAATAAAAAGAAAGCAATCATATATGCTACAGCATGAATGGAGCCTGAAAACAGTATGCTAAGTGAAAGAAGCCAGACATAGTAGGCCAGATATTATATTATTCCATTTAACTAAAGCTTTCAGTATTGGCAATACATAGAGACAGAAGCCAAATAATTGTTTCCTACTAATGTAGAGATGGAGAACTTTAAGGGAAGAGGGTGAAGCCTAAAGGGTGGAGAATTTCCTTATGGGGGAATGAAAATATTCTAAAATTGACTGTAATAATATTTGTACAAAATTGTGAATGATTGAATTACTTAAAAACTATAGATACAGTAAAAAGATCAGTAACTTCAAAGGGAATAGAGGAGGGAAGGAGGAGGATGAATGGATGAAGCACAGAGAATTTTTAGAGGAAAATATTCTGTATGATACTACAACTATTCTGTGGATATGTGTCACTATGCAATTGTTGAAACCCATAGACAGCTACAGCACAAAGAGTGAACCTTAATTTATACAATTTAAAAAAAATAAATTAAAAGGTCAGGAATTTGGAAGGAATGCAGACTGTGACAAGAAAATCTCACTCTGCTATGAATGTTTAAGGCAACCTCACTGAAGGAGTTTGGGGGTGGAGGAGGGCTGAACTAAATAACATTGAAAATAAGTGGAGCCTATAAGTCTAAAGGTAAAAGGAACTGCACACAGACACTGCCCTCTAGTTAATAAAGCTGTATTCCATGGACATATGGGTTAACAATATTCCTATTGCTATACATGTATATTTTAATTGAACAATTAATTAAAGAGTTGGTGGATAGTGATAGTTGAGTTTCAAGGGCTAAAATAATTCATGTGTTGAACACATGCATAAGAACTCATGTTTCACTTAAACAAAGTTGGTTCCTTATTTATTTATGTATTTATTTATTTCACTGAAGTTTTTAAACAACTTCATTGAGATATAATCACTATTTAAAAACTGCACAAACTCATCAAATTTTAGACAGTAATATGTGCAGTTCCTTGTATAGTGATTGTATCTCAGTGAAACATGCACATTTTTTGTTATGTAAAATTTGATGAGTTTGTACATATGCAAATAAATACCCATCAACACAATCAAAATAATAGACATATTCAACACCTTCCAAAGTTTTGTTGTGTCTCTGTTTTTTATTATTTATTTATTTATTTATTTATTTATTTATTTATTTATTTTGAGACACAGTCTCGCTCTGTCACCCAGGCTGGAGTGCAGCGGCACGATCTCGGCTCACTGCAATCTCTACCTCCCGGGTTCACGCCATTCTCCTGCCTCAGCCTCCCGAGTAGTTGGGACTACAGGCGCCCACCACCGTGCCTGGGTTTTTTTTTTTTTTTTTGTATTTTTAGTAGAGACGGGGTTTCACCATGTTAGCCAGGATGGTCTTGATCTCCTGACCTCGTGATCCACCCACCTCCGCCTCCCAAAGTGCTGGGATTACAGGTATGAGCCACCACACCCCGCCTTTTTATTTTGTTTTCGTTTTCTGTTTGTTTTGTGATAGGAAGACAAAATAGATCTGCCCTCTTAAGAAATTTTGAAACACAAAATACCATGTTGTTAACAATAAACAATATGTTGTACAGCAGATCTCTAGAATTTACTATTCTAGCATAACTAAAACTTTGTACCCATTGAACAACAAGCACTCTATTTTCCCCACTCTCCAGGCCCTAGCAACCACTATTGTATTCTCTTCTTCTATCAGTTTAACTATTATAGTTACTACCTGAAAATGTAAAACTTCTAGACAAAAGCATAGGGGAAAATCTTGACATTGGTCTTGGCAATGATTTTTTGAATATGAGACCAAAAGTACAAGCAACAAAAGCAAAAATAGACAAGATTACATCAAATTAAAAAGCTCTGCGTGGCAAAAGAAACAATCAACAGAATAAAAAGACAAACTGAAATGAGAGAACATATTTTCAAGTCATATATCTGATAATTTCCAAGATACATAAGGAACTCCTTCAACTCAATAGCAGAAATTTTTAAAAAATGGGCAAAGGAGTTAAACACATTTTTCTCCGAAGAAGACGTACAAATAAGATATATAAAGATGCTCAGCAGCATTATTTACCAAGGAAATGAAAATCAAATAATAATGAGATATCAGTTTATGCCTGTTAAAATGGCTATTTTTCTAAAAACTCGAAATGTAACATGTTGGCAAGGATGTGTGGAAATTGGAATGCTGGGCCTGGTGCAGTGGCTCACGCTTGTAATCCCAGCACTCTGGAAGGCAGAGGCAGGTGGATCATGAGGTCCGCAGTTGGAGACCAGCCTGGCCAACATGGTGAAACCCTGTCTCTACTAAAAATACAAAAATTAGCCAGGCATGGTGGCAGGCGCCTGTAATCCCAGCTACTCGGGATGCTGAGGCAGGAGAATCACTTGAACCCGGGAGGTGGAGGTTGCAGTGAGCCGAGACTGCACCTTTGCCCTCTACCATGGGTGACAGAGTGAGACTCTGTCTCAAAAAAAAGAAATTGAAATGCTGGCAAATTGTTGGCGGGGATGTAAAATGGTAGAGTAGCTATGGGTATTAATATGAAGGTTTCTCAAAAATTAAAAATAAAACTGCCATACAACCCAGCAGTTCTACCTCTGGGTACATATAAAAAAAGAATTAAAATCAGAGTCTTGAAAAGATATCTGTATTCCCATGTTCACTGAGGTATTACTCACAATAACCAAGATATGGAAACAATTCAAGTATCTTTTTAAAAATGAATGAAGAAATGTGGTATATACATATATACAGTGAAATATTATTCTGCCTTAAAATAGGAGATTCTGCTATTTGTGACAACATGGATGGTATACTAAGTAAAATAAGCCAGTCACAGAACATATTGATGTATTTAAAGATAGTATACCTTTACAGATAGGATAGAATATACACATATATTCCTTTAATCTGCCAAAAAGAAGGCCTAAAAGAAATGACATCCCAATAACAATGAGCATGCCTAGTGCCCAGATCTGGGTTTCTAATACCAATCTCTAGTAGAAGGAATCAGGGCTTCTTGGAGAAATGTCTGTGATTATAAGAGTGGGGCATAAAATATACAATATGAGACTGGGGCATCTAGTAGTGACAAAAAGTAAGGCACTCAGAAAAAATTAAAAACTCATATTGATGGAGCTATCTCAAAGAAGTACAGGAGCCAACTGAATGCTCTCTCAAATTTGCCAAAGCCAGGAGACCATTTGAGCAACAATGTAAGTAAAGTCATAGTGAATTATAACATAAAGTATAGAATATATATCCATGAGTCCATACTTATATAAATAAAGGATTAAATAATTTAATACAGAGAGACAAATATCTGGTGCAAAAGTATTCCGAACAATTTATATAGATACTCTCACCTTAAGGATAGGGACCATAATTCTCCATTCTTTTAAAGTGCTGGCTATATGTAGTGACTTTCTTCCAAAGTACAGTACGGGTGGCTGGCAAGATGGCCGAATAGGAAGAGCTCCAGTCTACAGCTCCCGCAGAGATCAACGCAGAAGGTGGGTGATTTCTGCATTTCCAGCTGAGGTATCTGGCTCATCTCATCGGGACTGGTTAGACAGGGGGTGCAGCCCATAGAGGGCAAGCCAAGGCAGGGTGGGGCATTGTTTCACCAGGGAAGTGCCAGGGATTGGGGAACTCCCTCCCCTAGCCAGGGGAAGCCAAGAGGAACTGTGCCCTGAGGAATGGTGCACTCTAGCCTAGATACGATGCTTTTCCCATGGTCTTCACAACCCACAGACCCGGAGATTTCCTCAGGTGCCTACCCCACCAGGGCCCTGGGTTTCAAGCACAAAACAGGAAGCCATTTGTGCAGACACCAAGTTAGCTGCAGGAGTTTTTTTCATACCCCAGTGGTGCCTGGAATGCCAGTGGACAGATCTGTTCACTCCCCTGGAAAGGGGGCTGAAGCCAGGGAGCCAAGTGGTCTAGCTCAACGGATCCCACCACCTACAGAGCCCAGTAAGCTAACATTCATTGGCTTGAAATTCTTGCTGCTAGCATAGCAGTCTGAAGTCGCCCTGGGACGCACTAGCTTGGTAGGGGGAGGGGCGTCCACCATTACTGAGGCTTGAGTAGCTGGTTTTCCCCTCACAGTGTAAACAAAGCCCCAGGGAAGTTCCAACTGGGCGAAGCCCACAACAGCTCAGCAAAGCCTCTGTAAACAGACTGCCTCCCTAGATTCCTCCTCTCTAGGCAGGGCATCTCTGGAAAAAAAGGCAGCAGCCCCAGTCAGGGGCTTATAGATCAAACTCCCATCTCCCTGGGACAGAACACCTGGGGAAAGGGGAGGCTGTGGGCTCAGCTTCAGCAGACTTAAATGTACCTGCCTGCCAGCTCTGAAGAGAGCAGAGGATCTCTCAGCACACCACTCGAGCTCTGGTAAGAGACAGACTGCCTCCTCAAGTGGATCCCTGACACCTGTGTCTCCTGACTGGGAGACAACTCCCAGCAGGGGCGGATGGACACCTCATACAGGACAATTCCAGCTGGCATCTGCCAGGTGCCCTCTGGGACAAAGCTTCCAGAGGAAGTAACAGGCAGCAAACTTTGCTGTTCTGCAGCCTCTGCTGGTGATACCCAGGCAAACAGGGTCTGGAGTGGACCTCAGGCAAACTCCAGCAGACCTGCACTGCAGCAGAGGAGCCTGACTTTCAGAAGGAAAACTAACGAACAGAAAGGAATAGCATCAACATCAACGAAAAGGACATCCAGACAGAAACCCCATCTGAAGGTCACCAACATCAAAGACCAAAGGTAGGTAAATCCATGCAGATGAGGAAAAACCAGCGCAAAAAGGCTGAAAATTCCCAAAACCAGAACACTTCTCCTCCAACAGATCACACTCCTTGCCAGCAAGGGAACAGAACTGGACGGAGAATGAGTTTGATGAATTGACAGAAGTAGGCTTCAGAAGGTGGATAATAAACTCCTCCAAGCTAAGGGAGCATGTTCTAACCCAATGCAAGGAAGCTAAAAATCTTAAAAAAAAGATTATAGAAATTGCTAACTAGAATAACCAGTTTAGAGAAGAACATAAATGACCTGATGGAGCTAAAAAACACAGCATGAGAACTTCGTGAAGCATACACAAGTATCAATAGCTGAATCAATCTAGCAGAAAAAAGGATATCAGAGGTAGAAGATTGACTTAATGAAATGAAGTGTCAAGACAAGATTAGAGAAAAAAGAATGAAAAAGGAGAATGAACAAAGCCTCTAAGAAACATGAGACTATATGAAAAGACCAAATCTACGTTTGATTGGTGTACCTGAAAGTGACTGGGAGAATGGAAAGGAGCTGGAAAACACTCTTCGGGATATTATCCAGGAGAACTTCCCCAACCTAGCAAGACAGGCCAACACTCAAATTCAGGAAATACAGAGAACACCACAGCGATGCTCCTCAAGAAGAGCAACCCAAAGACACATAATCGTCAGATTCACCAAAGTTGAAATAAAGGAAAAAATGTTAAGGGCAGCCAGAGGGAAAGGTTGGGTTACCCACAAAGCAAAGCCTATCAGACTAACAGCAGATCTCTCTGCAGAAACTCTACAAGCCAGAAGAGAGTGGGGCCAATATTCTACATTCTTAAAGAAAAGAATTTTCAACCTAGAATTTCGTATCCAGCCAAATTAAGCTTCATAAGGGAAAGAGAAATAAAATATTTTACAGACAAGCAAATGCTGAGAAATTTTGTCACCACCAGGCCTGCCTTAAAAGAGCTCCTCTAGGAGCACTAAACATGGAAAAGAACAATCTGTATCAGCCACTGCAAAAACATACCAAATTGTAAAAACCAACAACACTCTGAAGAAACTGCATCAACTAAAAGTCAAGATAACCAGCTAGCATTATAATGACAGGATCAAATTCACACATAGCAATATTAACCTTAAATGTAAATGGGCTAAATGCCCCAATTAAAAGACAGAGACTGGCAAATTGGATACAGAGTCAAGACCCATTGGTATGCTCTATTCAGGAGACCCATGTCAAGTGCAAAGACACACATAGGCTCAAAATAAAAGGATGGAGGAATATTGACCAAGCAAATGGAAACCAAAACAAAGCAGGGGTTGCATTCCCAGTCTCTGATAAAACAGGCTTTAAACCAACAAAGATCAAAAGAGCCAAAGAAAGGCGTTATATAATGGTAAAGGGATCAATGAAACAAGAATAGTTAACTGTCCTAATATATATGCACCCAATACAGGAGCACCCAGATTCATAAATCAAGTTCTTAGAGACCTACAAAGAGATTTAGACTCTGACACAATAATAGTAGGAGACTTAAACACCCCACTGTCAATATTAGACAGATCAATGAGACAGAAAATTAACAAGGATATTTAGCACTTGAACTCAGCTCTGGACCGAGTGGATCTAACAGGCATCTACAGAACTCTCAACCCCAAATCAACAGAATATACATTCTTCTCAGCACCACATCACACTTATTTTAAAATTAGCCACATAATTGGATGTAAAACACTCCTCAGCAAATGCAAAATAATGGAAATCATAACAAACAGTTTGTCTGACCACAGTGCAATCAAATTAGAACTCAGGATTAAGAAACTCAAAACTGCACAACTACATGGAAACTAAACAACCTTCTCCTAAATGACTACTGGGTAAATATAAAAATTAAGGCAGAAATAAATAAGTTATTTCAAACCAATGAGAGCAAAGACACAACATACAAGAATCTCTGGGACACAGCTAAAGCAGTGTTTAGAGGGAAATTTATAGCACTAAATGCCCACAAGAGAAAGCAGGAAAGATCTAAAATTGACACCCTAATACCACAATTTAAAGAACTAGAGAAGCAAGAGCAAACAAATTCAAAAGCTAGCAGAAGCCAAGAAATAACTAAGGTTAGAAACAAGTGCTTGGTGCTGCGAAGAAAACGTGTGCTCAATAAAAGATTACTTAGTAAGGCAATTTTACTTTTGTAGTGTAGCAGGACGAGCCACAGACAAAACTCCTCCTCAGACACCAGGTTAAAGAAGGAAGGAGCTTTATTCAGCCTGGAACTTCAGCAGACTTGCATCTCAAAAGCCGAGCTCCCCGAGTGAGCAATTCCAGTCCCTTTTAGGGGCTTACAACTCTAAGGGGGTCCGCGTGAGAGGGTCGTGATGGATTGAGCAAGCAAGGGGTACGTGACTGGGGGCTGTGTGCACTGATAATCACAACGGAACAGAACAGGAAAGGGATTTTCACAATGCTTTTCCATACAACGTCTGGAATCTATAGATAACGTAACCGGTTAGGTCAGGGGTGGATCTTTAACTACCAGGCCCAGGGCGTGGCACTGGGCTGTCTGTCGGTGAATTTCATTTCTGCCTTTTAGTTTTTACTTTTTCCTTCTTTGGAGGCAGAAATGGGCATAAGACAATATGAGAGGTGGTCTCCTCCCTTATCCCCCTCTCTTTGAGAACCTCTCTCATTAGTGGGAGTTCTCACTTTCATCCTCACTACCCATGTCTTCTTGCAAGACAGATCAATAGTGATTCATATAGTATACTTGTGCTGAAGCATTTTGGTGAACTAAGGTAGTGATGAAGTTTTTTATTACTTGAAGGAGTACAGGTAGCAAACAAGGGAGTAGTAAGCAGGTTCCTATTACTATTATAATTTTTATTATAAGAGTTTTAAATCCTTTTAGTGCTGGAAACCATTTCCAACCATGGCCCCAGGATTAAATCCATGCCACACTTGCAAGGGCACATGTGCCAGTTTTGTCATATCTTTAACTATGTCTTCAACTACTTGCCCTTGATCATTTATGTGCAAACAGCAATTGTTTAGGTTAAATTTTCCACAGACTACTTCTTCAGCTGCTAGCAAGTAGTCTAGGGCTAGTCTATTTTGATAGATAGCATTTCTCATCTGGGTTTTTGCTGGGCTAAAACAGTTAAAGCTCTACCAGTTTTATTAGTTATTATTTTTAAGACAGCTTTTAACTGTATGATTCGGTTGAGCATATAAATGGGGGTTTGGTATCCCCACTAGCCGTCTTGTGCCTAAGTGGCAGGCCCATAGTACTGCATGATTTTTTTCAGGGGGCCACTCATCATCTTTCCAGCTGCCTATAGCTATGCTTCTCTTTTCTCGGGAAGCACAGACTGGGAAGCCTAGAAGTGTGCCTGTTTTTATGGGCACTAGGAAAAAGGATGGGTTATAGCACACATCAGGCTGGTCACTTCCAGGGCTATATACCTTGTATAGAATAGCATTAAACAAACAAGCTCCTTTTAGAGTCCTGGTACACTTATAATAACCATAAAATAATAGAACTGTAGCAACCTTTTGTCCTACCGCAGTGACTTGACGTATATACTGGGAACAGTCCTCAGTCTGGGAAAGGTCAGTTGAAGTCCTTACTGTACAAGTCCAAATTTTAAGGAAAATGAGTCCCATGATGAGTTTCCTCATGCTTCGGCTGTGCGTGGACCAGTCAGCTTCTGGGTGTGACTGGAGCAGCGCTTGTCATCTTCTTCAGAGTCACTTTGCAGGGGTTGGTGAAGCTGCTCCCGTCCACGTGCAGCTACCAGTCTACTGATGTTCAAGGATGGTCTCAGAGGTTGGGCCTGCTAGAATAAACTGAGTCCAACACCTCTACACAGTTATGTTTAACTGGGCTCTCTGATACGGGGAGCAAGGTGGTGGGGTTTAGGGTGTTGCAAACTTCAATGGTTATGCAGGGATTTTCACAGAGCAAGCTTTGGTATCTAGTTAGTCTAGTATTCTTTAGCCAATGATGTCCTTTGGTATTTATTAAAGTCACCACAGTATGGGGGGCCTTTATCTTTAGGTTTTGCCCAAGAGTTAGCTTATCCACTTCTTATGCTAGCAGGGCTGTTGCTGCCAAAGCCCTCAAACATGGGGGCCAACTCTTAGAAACGCCATCTAGTTGTTTAGAGAGGTAGGCCACTGGCCCCAGCCAGGGCCCCATGGTCTGGGTCAAAACTCTAACCGCCATTTTTTTTTCTCTGTCTGACACATATAGTGTAAAAGGTTTTGTCTGGTCAGGTAGCCCCAGGGCTAGGGCCGACATGAGTTTTTCTTTTAACTCATGAAAAGCTCGTTGCTGTTGGTTGTAATAGATGTAGTTTATCCAATCTACATTTTTATTAACTGTCACCCACCAAAATATTGACTCAAATCCTGCAGCTATTTGATTTTGGGCTTTAAATTGATCTGGTATTCCCTTTTGGATTCCAATTGCATCTAAATAGATGTGAGAGTTGAAAGGCCCATAAGGGGCTTCTCTCACTTTACAATGTCTTATTTTTCCTCCCTCTGGTTGATGAAATGCCAGGGTGAAAGGGATAGCCAACTGGACTAAAGCACAAATGCCACTCCAGTTATTTGGCAGAGTGCCCAGTAAAGGTCCACCACAATACCACCACACATCTGCTTGGGGATGAACCAGGGCTGACTGATTGATAAGCTCTTGAAAATTCTTAAGCTCACTGCATCCCTTCAGGTCTCCAAGGAATGCTAAGTTTTCTCCCTGTCATGAGAGACACGAAGTGAACCTAGTGTTGGAAGACGGAAGCGGGATGGCCCTCGAGGGCTGACCCACAGGGTGCTCGACTTCCGGATATAGCAGAAAGAGCTTGGCATGACTTAATACTCCAGGCTGTAGAATCCTGGAAAAGAGCTACCATGCAGCCCATGCCTGGTTGACTGGAGGACCACCTTAGTGGAAAGGGGACAATCTGGGCCTCTGGCCTGCCATGTGCACAAGCATAACAATTGCTTTTGTTTAACATGTGGAGGGAATATTTGATCCATTCCAACCAGGCATTTGCATCTTGGTAACCTGCTTAATTGCCAAAGTTTGTATTAAGTCTTTAACTTCTATGATCCTCTAGTAAAATGAACATATGGTTTTAGGAAATTACAAAAACCGGTTGGGGAAGTCCATCCTTGCTCTGTAGTGGTCCACGGAATGTTGGACCAACTATGGCATAAAAGCTCTACATCGGGGGGCAAGACTCCTAGTTGGCACTGGGGTCTTTATGGAAATCTCCCTGGATTAAATGGTCCCAATTTACTAATGCCCAGTCTGAGGAGAGTCAGGAAGGTCAGAGGTACTTTTCTGAAGTAGAGGGCTGTCTTTGACTTGGTAAGTCCCCACAGGGTATAACAAGGCAAGCATTAAATGCAATAGTTTGAGGCAAAATTGACTTGGTTATGTTAATAACTAGATGGTCAGCAATAGAGTGAGGAAAGAAGAAAGAGTAATAGAATAGATGAAAGAGTTAAATTTTTCTTAGCTTAGTTTGGTAGGGTTTTCCCCTGGGACTATGGCCTATGACTCTGGAGGGGGTGGTGCTTTCTTGACTTGGGTGTGATGAATCCATCCCCTTTCCATTGTAGGAACAGCAGTCTCAGCGGTTAGCAGCACAAGGTAAGCTCCTTCACAGGATGGCTCAAGTTTTCCTTCTTATGTGATCTTTAGGCTGGAGCTGGTTTACCAGAAATTCTAGGGGTGGTACGTGTGCTAAAAGACTTTTAGTTTTGAGGGAAAGGAAAGTGTATATAATTTTTAAGAAATTAGACAATGCTTCTTGTGTGATTTTTATACCAGATAAGTAAATTTCACCTTTATATTAGTGTGTTATTAATGTTAAACTTAGTTTTCATAAAACTTCGTAGACATATTTATTCAATTTTTAATGTTGGACCATAAGGTAAGATTTTTATAGACTCTTTTTAACCTTTTATAGTTTTTGTTAAAGAGCAGGTTAGTGATTTAAGAAAAAACCCGTTGTGTTTTTATTTTAATGTTTAGTTCACAGAAAAACTGGATGATACCTCTTTAACTTTAGCTAATATGTTTACACACAGAATTTTCTTTATGATTAATGTTTTAAAACTTGCTTAAGCCTTCAAAAGAAAACTTTTTTTTAACCTTTTAATGTAGGTAAAAATCCACATTCTTATGCCTCCTTATAATCCCTTTACCAAAGGTATATTTTACTTTCCTTATACACCTTGCACATAAACTGTTTCTTCAATAGTTTTACATTCAGGAGGCCCAATTACTTTTAAATTATACAACATTTCTTGCATAAATTCTTTTTTATAACTTTTTTTTCTCTTTCATGACTTTCACAGACAATTCTTTGACATGCGTTAACTTTCTGACTTATTACAAACATTTCTTTCTTTAAACAACCAGTTAATTTATTTCAGGATAAGAATTTACCATATAACATTCTTTTTACATAAATTTCGCGGCCCCCCCCAACTTTTTTTCCCTTTTTTTTGAAGATGATAACCATTCTTTTCCAAAGTGGACTTCCTTTATGTCTGTGGACTAGACTGTCTAAGGCCACAAGATTAGAAGTTACTATAATATATGTTACACTGTTAACTTTTAGCACACTTTACTTTTGCTGAAAACCTTGTAAGTTTGGGATTTCAATTATCCTTTGCTATTAATAAGAACTTGTTTAGTTCAAATTAACTTAGAATTGGTATAGATGGCTTTTTTTTTTTTCCTTCAATTACCCAGGAGGAACCATCTATCATCCTGTCCTGAAGGGAGTTCCTCTTAGGTCTGGTTGAACCTTTGTATAGTAATTAAGATTTAAATCCCCTGTTAGGAAACCTGCTGGGTTAAGGGAATTTTCAGTAGTTAATGTTAAATCATCTTTTTTCTTTTTTTTCTAACAGAATACCCTTATACTTTAAGATTTTTAAGTTAGTAAGCTACCTTTTTGTCTTTTTTTTTTTTTTTTTTAACTTAGGATACTTCTGAACTGGTAAGGTGTGCTCACAATGAGGTTTCCCCTAAAAGTTATTTTTCTACTTTCTTCTGTTAGCAAAGCAGTTGCCGCTACAGAGTGAATGCATTTGGGCCATCCGCAGGTTACTGGGTCAAGGATTTTTGATAGGAAGTCTAGGGGTTATCAGCGGCCTCAATGCTTTTGGGGTATTCCCTTGTTTACACTGACAACAAGAAAGTGTTATTGGAGTGTTATAGGGTTATGGATAATACCTTTAATTATCAATTATAGGTTTTAAATTTACCTTGGCTTTTAAAGGAATAGGGTACACTGTTTTTTTTCTTAACTACTTGTATATCTCTCTCTCTCTCTCTTTCCTTGACTCCCTCTTTGTCTTTCTGTCTCTTCCTGTCACTTTCTCTCTCTCTTTGCCTCTTTCCCTCTCTGTCTCTTTCCTCTATCTCTCTCTCTCTGCTGGTCTTTCCTTGCCTCTGTCAGCTGCTTATGCTGCTGTTCTCTCAACCACTGTGAGGCGGATCTAAAACCAGCTGTAACCAAGTGTCTATGTACAGGAACTGGTTTGCGTGCCCTGGCTTACAGGTTACCTTGTGCCATACCTTTGAAACAACGGACCCGTCAAGGCTTACTTCTGATGGGAAATCCACCTCTAATGCTGGCCAGTCTATTTCACATAAAGTTCTAACTTTTCCTGGTGTCAGAGTAACACCATAATCTCCCTTAAATCCTTTCTTGAAATTTTTCAACATAGTTCCTGGTGGGGTGGGCTTACTTTGTGCCTGACCCATGCTTCCTCGAGACAAAACACCACATGCACACCGCAAAACAAAGAACAAGTAAAAAGGGCACACAGACACTTTCACAGTTTACACCAAACCAGAGTCAAAACCAAATCAGAGTATCAAGAAATCCAAGCCAGGTCAAAACCAAAACCAAAGTATCAAGCCATCCAAGTCAAGTCAAAAACAAAAACCAAAGTGCTGGTACAGACACGCCGTGGGTGATCAGGCCACGCTTCCACTCAAATGGAGTGGTCAAGTTCCAAAGACCAGTCTTACCAAGTTTCAGATGTCCAGACTGCAAGTGCCAGTTCTTTCCCGGTGTTCAGCCACTGCGTTGACCCTCTGCGGGGGCCTGCCGTGCACTGCTCTGAGGAGGCGTTCCACTGGGGCAAATGCCTACCCAGGAGCGCTCTCAGGATCTGCATCGCTCAAGCTGGCTGGAGTCCCCACAGGGATGCTCCACAAGGCAGGCCTAAGCTGCCTAAGGGGCTGCCTTGGCCTCTGTTAATCACCTCGCTTCCTGGTCAGGGTACCAAGAAATGTAGCAGAACAAGCCACAGACAAAACTCCTCAGACACCGGGTTAAAGAAGTGAGGAGCTTTATTCAGCTGGAAATTTCAGCAGACTTGCATCTCAAAAGCCGAGCTCCCCAAGTGAGCAATTCCTGTCCCTTTTAAGGGCCTACAACTCTAAGGAGGTCTGTGTGAGAGGGTCGTGATTGATTGAGCAAGCAGGGGGTACGTGACTGGGGGCTGCATGCACCAGTAATCAGAATGGAACAGAACAGGACAGAGATTGTCACAGTGCTTTTCCATACAATGTCTGGAATCTATAGATGACATAACTGGTTAGGTCAGGGGTCGATCTTTAACTACCAGGCCCAGGGCACAGCGCCGGGCTGCCTGCCTGTGGATTTCATTTCTGCCTTTTAGTTTTTACTTCTTCTTTCTTTGGAGGCAGAAGTTGGGCATAAGACAATATGAGGGGTGGTCTCCTCTCTTAGTAGAAGGGTGTTATTTGCATTTGTCATTTTGAAAGCACACCAAGAGGGGTGGGCAGGGTTTTTTATTTTTAACACAAGGGGCTTTTACTGTTGTGTCTTTTTTTTACTGACTGAGTTGGACTGTATAATTGAAGCTAATTTTGATTGGCTAATCTGAATAGAGCAAGGATGTGGGTTACAGTGGTAGGACAAGTAGTTTCAGCAGGAAGAATAGTTGTAGAGTGCGTAACTAAGGGAACAGAACAGATGTAAGTTATAGATTAGGACTGGTGGGAAGGGTTGTTTATAGCACAGTTAACTATAGAAACTGGAGAAACAAAGAACAGGAAGAACACAGAACTAAAACTTTTTGAAGATGAATTTATCATCTCTGACATGTGTCTAGTCTCTGTTAGCTGGAGTTGGACTGTACAAATCGACACTGAACTTGATTGGCTAACTTGAAAGGGGCAGGGGTGTGATTACACTGGTGGACAATGGGAGGGGTGATTTACAGAATGATTAGCAGATGTGGGCTCTGTAGATAAGGAATGATAGGAAAGTTGTTTACTGAAACTAAAACGGGGAGGCATAAAGGATAAGGAATGTAGTTTGGCTTTGGGAGTAGGGAACAAAGAGCAAGGACGCTAAACAAGCCAAACTTTTAAAGAGGAACTCTTTTTATATCTGACAACTAAGATCAAAGCAGAACTGAAGGAGATAGAGACAGGAAAAACCTTTCAAAAATCAATGAGTACAGGAGCTGGTTATTTGAAAAGATCAGCAAATAGATAGATTGCTAGCCAGACTAATGAAGAAGAAAAAAGAGAAGAAGCAAATAGACACAATAAAAAATGATAAAGGGGATATCACCACTGATCCCACAGAAATAGACTACCATCAGAGAATACTATAAACACCTCTACACAAATAAACTAGAAAATTTAGAAGAAATGGATAAGTTCCTGGACATATACACCCTCCCAAGTCTAAACCAGGAAGAAGTTGAATCCCTGAATAGACCAATAACAAGTTCTGAAATTGAGGCAGTAACTAATAGCCTAGCAACCAAAAAAAGCCCAGGATCAGACAGATTCACAGCCGAATTCTACCAGAGATATGAAGAGGAGATGGTACCATTCCTTCTGAAACTATTCCAAACAACAGAAAAAGAGGGACACCTCCCTAACTCATTTTATGAGGCCAGCATCATCCTGATACCAAAACCTGGAAGACACACAACAACAAAAAAGAACATTTCAGGCCAATATCCCTGATGAACATTAATGTGAAAATCCTCAAGAAAATACTGGCAAACCAAATCCAGCAGTACCTCAAAAAGCTTATCCACCACGATCAAGTCGGCTTCATCCCTGGGATGCAACCCTGGTTCAACATACACAAATCAATAAACTTAATCTATCACATAAAGAGAACCAATGACAAAAACCTCATGAGTATCTCGATAGATGCAGAAAAGTCCCTCGATAAAATTCAACACCTCTTCATGCTAAAAATTCTCAATAAACTAGGTATTGATGGAACGTATCTCAAAATAATAATAACTATTTATGACAAACTCACAGCCAATATCATATGGAATGGGCAAAACCTGGAAGCATTCCCTTTGAAAGCCAGTACAAGACAAAGATGCCCTCTCTCACCGCTCTTACTCAACATAGTATTGGAAGTTCTGGCCGGGGCACTCAGGCAAGAGAAAGAAATAAAGTTTATTCAAATAGGAAGAGAGGAAGTCAAATTGTCTCTGTTTGCAGATGACATGATTTTATATTTAAAAAACCAGTCTTCTCAGCCCCAAATCTCCTTAAGCTGATAAGCAACTTCAGCAAAGTCTCAGGATACAAAAATCACAAGCATTCCTATACACCAATAACAGACAAACAGAGAGCAAAATCATGAGTGAACTCCCATTCACAATTGCGACAAAGAGAATAAAATACCTAGGAATAAAACTCACAAGGGATGTGAGGGACCTCTTCAAGGAGATCTAGAAACAACTGCTCAAGGAAATAAAAGAGGACACAAACAAATGGAAAAACATTTCATGCTCATGGATAGGAAGAATCAATATTGAAAAATGGCCATACTGCCCAATTTATAGATTCAATGCTATCCCAATTAAGCTACCATTGACTTTCTTCACAAAATTAGAAAAAACAAACTACTTTAAACTTCACATGGAACCAAAAAACAGCCCATATAGCCAAGGCAATCCTAAGCAAAAAGAGCAAAGCTGGAGGCATCACGCTACCTGACTTCCAACTATACTATGAGGCTACAGTAACCAAAACAGCATGGTACAGGTAGCAAAACAGATATATAGACCAATGGAACAGAACAGAGGCCTCAGAAATAACAGCACACATCTAAAATCATCTGATCTTTGACAAACCTGACAAATATAAGCAATGGGGAAAGGATTTCCTATTTAATAAATCATGTTGGGAAAACTGACTAGCCATGTGCAGAAAACAGAAACTGGACCTCTTCTTTACACCTAATGCAAAAATTAACTCAAGATGGATTAAAGACTTAAACATAAGACCTAAAACCATAAAAACCCTAGAAGAAAACCCAGGCAATACCATTCAGGACATAGGTATGGGCAAAGACTTCATGACTAAAACACCAAAAGCAATGGCAACAAAAGCCAAAATTGACAAATGGGATCTAATTAAACTAAAGAGTTTCTGCAAAGCAAAAGAAACAATCATCAGAGTGAACAGGCAACCTACAGAATGGGAGAAAATTTTTGCAATATATCCATCTGACAGAAGGCTAATATCTAGGATCTACAAAGAACTTAAACAAATGTACAAGAAAAAAACAATCCCATCAAAAAGTGGACGAAGGATATTAACAGGCACTTCTCAAAAGAAGACATTTACTCAGCCAACAAACATATGAAAAAAAGCCCATCATCACTGGTCAGTTAGAATGGTGATCATTAAAAAGTCAGGAAATAACAGATGCTGGAGAAATAAAAACTCTTTTATACTGTTGTTGGGAGTGTAAATTAGTTCAACCATTGTGGAAGGTGGTGTGGCAATTCCTCAAGGATCTAGAACCAGAAATACCGTTTGACCCAGTATAAATCATTCTACATAAAGACGCTTTCACACGTTTGTCACGGCACTATTCACAATGGAAAAGACTTGGAACCCACCCAAATGCCTATCAATGATAGACTGTATAAAGAAAATGTGGCACATATACACCATGGAATACTATGCAGACATAAAAAAGGATGTGTTCATGTCCTTTGCAGAGACATGGATGAAGCTGGAAACCATCATTCTCAGCAAACTAACACAGGAACAGAAAACCAAACACCACATGTTCTCACTCATAAGTGGAAGTTGAGCAATGATAACACATGGACACAGGGAAGGGAACATCACATACCGGGGTCTGTCAGGGGGTGGGAGGCTAGGGGAGGGATAGCATTAGGAGAAATACCTAATGTAGATGATGGGTTGATGGGTGCAGCAAACCAACATGCCATGTGCATACCTATGTAACAAACCTGCATGTTCTGCACATATATCCCAGAACTTAAAGTATAAAAAAATAAATAAATAAACAGTATGGAAAGGTAGGGGTAGAAAGTAACTTCATAGTGGAGAAATCTAACAATCATTACCCCAGTCAGGTGTTTAAGATCAATATCAGCAGTCATAAATTATGTTGGTAGTATGTATCCTTGTCATAATGTGACAAAAATGGCACTTTAACTCTGTTATCTTCTTTCCCAAACCCCATAACCCTGGTCTAATTATGAGTAAAAACATCAGATAAATTCTATTAAGGGGATACCCTGCAAAATACCTGACCAGTATTATTCAAAACTGTCAAGATCATCAAAAATAAGAAAAATCTGAGAAACTGTCACAGCCAAGGGAACTTAAGGAGAGATGACAACTAGAGCAATTTGGTATTCTGGATGGGTTGCTAGAACAGAAACGTGCTGGGGAAAAGATAAGGATATTTGATTAACATATGGACTTTAGTTAGTAACAATGTATCAATTTTGGTATATTAACGATAAGTGCACCATACTAACGTAACATGT
This sequence comes from Homo sapiens, assembly GCF_000001405.40. Classification (NCBI taxonomy): domain Eukaryota; kingdom Metazoa; phylum Chordata; class Mammalia; order Primates; family Hominidae; genus Homo; species Homo sapiens. Next base: position 187,506,416 of record NC_000002.12, on the reverse strand, counting down.
TAATAGGGAAACTGGGTGTGAGGTGTATGAGAAGTCTCTGTACATTCTTCTCTATTTTTTTTTAAATCTAAAACTATTTTAAATAATGGGGTCAATTTTTTTAAAAGAAGATGTTTCTATTAGAAAGCCAGGATTATGGGCTTATCAAGCAGATGTTTACAGCAAATTCTCTGCTGAACTATGGGGGGAGGAGATCTGCAAATGGTGTTTTATAAATCTCTGTTTTCTAATTTTAAGAAAGCTGGATTTTTCCAAAAGGAAAAAGATTTTGCATGGTATATAGAAGTTGGTGCATGGATTCATCCCTACATTAAATCTGTTATCACCCAGAACCAGACAGCATTTTTGAGTAAAAATTTAGATATTTGATTCCTCCTGCAATTCATGTACTTTATTTGCCTTTTGCTTTTCTTTTTTTTAAAAAAAAAATTACATACGCTACTATTTAGCTATGGCTTGCTGTGGTATATAGTCATATAGTCATATAGTCATTTATCTGTCTAACACCCTTCCCTTCTGAAAGCAACAATTTCCTCCTTCTGGGAGTTACACTTGTCCGTTTCCACCACCCAAACCATATGGTTCCATTAATATTTGCCATGCTATTACATTTTCTTATTCCTGACCCCAGACTGGTTTTGGGTCCACCAAATCTATGATGGTCTCCTACAATTCCCAACTCAAATGGATTGGTCCAAAAGGTGTCCCTTGTTTCATGCTAAAACTATCAGAGCTAGTCTCAAGCTATTTAAGCCTGGACCATAAAGAGAAGTAGTCACACTATTTTGATTGAAAAACTCTTAAGGTTTAAAACCCAGGACAGTTCATTGTTCATGCATCATGCTATGCAGAGAAGATTGGGTCACACTGAGAGAAAATAAAGCTGTCTAAGGAGTGTAGCCACAATGAGAAATACCTGGTGGTGCTCAGCTCACCAGCTCTAGCTGTTTCTGAGAACTAATGCAAGCCTGCCCTTGTCATCTCAGATTGTTCCACATATTCTAGAATAAATAAACTGATGATCCAAATTTGTCAGAGCTGGTTTCTAATCCTAGCACCCAACGAAAGTCTAAAGTACTAAGTTTAGGCAATACCCTAGGCTGCCATTTTTTAAGACAGGAACTTGCTGAATTTAGAGCCCTCTCTCTCAAGGGCTTCAGCAGGCCCCCAACCTCAGCCTGCTTCCTGAACTGTGTGATGCAGAGTACACTCTGTATTTTATACTCAAAGTATAGCAGGATAGTATATTTCAAAGAATCAAATGGAAATAAATGAATCTCTGAAAAACGTGTTCAAAAATGCGATAAGGATTAGAAGTTTAGTTTCAAGATTCTTCAAAATCATGTATCTATATAAATATATATATATATTTGTGAATTCAAATGGTTTATGGTATGATTTACAAGATATATGAGATCTCTACTGACTAAAAATCAAATGTATGTTAACACTTGCAAAGTGTTGTGAGAAAAAAAGGTTATGTATCTCACTAGTGATTTTAATGAAACTTAAAGCATAATAACATTTATTACTTAATTATTATATGGCTACCCACAATGGTGTATATTGCAGCTGTGATCTGCTACAGACAAAACCAGATAATTCTCTAGATTGTTTTTGATGGAGTATCTGTCCCTGCATTTGTGAATGTTTGCTGATAAGATCTCGCTTTCCTTCCTGACTGGAAGGGCACTGGTGGCTGAGAACAGGAAGGAAGCAAGTGTTCTCTTCTTTTATTTTTCTGTGTTGCATGATCATTACACTTTTCCTTCCACCTTTAAATCCAAAGAAGAAGTCGTCTTTAAAAAAATAAAGGTGACTTACTTCTTTCTTTTCTTTTTTTTTTTTTTCCTTTTTGGCGATAGATCTTTAAACAACGTTGAAACAGGAAAAGTCTCACTCTCCTATTGAAATCTGATTCCTTTAGAGTGTAAGAGTGATGGCTTATCACTTAGAGTCACTTTTCTGTGAAACTTTTTGAATCAGATAACTCCCTAAACTGCGGAATAATGAACTGGGAAAGAGGACTAACTCGAATGTCAGACACTTCTTTTGTCCTCTGTTTTGGCTGTCTGCTATCTCACAGAAAACCTGGTTAGGAAATTGATGTAAATAATGTATTTTTTAAAGGAAACAAAGATGAAAATTCTGAAAATGTGTTTCCTTTTTAAAAGAAGAACTAGAGCAGAGGGAAAGATAAATCAGGAATTAAAAGTTGCATTAAAGAAATAATAGAAAAATGCCTAAATAATTATTGGTTCTGACTGAGAAAGAATAGCTGTGCGAAAGATGTGGAAAGTAAAATTGCACATGGAAATGGACTTTAATACATACTTCGCCATATTGATCAGCGTTTACCCATGTCTCTCAATTACTGTCCTTTTTATTTATATTTTCAAAGTTGAAATATGACCTGTTTGCTTGAATATTAATAAATATATGCACTGAATGTGTTTGCCCATAATTCTGAATACTACATATACATTTTAAGTATGACTCATTGAGTATGCACAGAGAAATGTATGTGTATACACATAAAATGGCATAGAAATTTGCATATGAGGTACACATATGATGTTTACTAGTCTGTAAATGAGTGCATATTAACACTTTATTTATTAGATATGTATGGGTTCTGTATTTCAGAGATGATTTACACAATGAAGAAAGTACATGCACTTTGGGCTTCTGTATGCCTGCTGCTTAATCTTGCCCCTGCCCCTCTTAATGCTGATTCTGAGGAAGATGAAGAACACACAATTATCACAGGTAAAATATTAGAAGCAATTATCTTTTTAAGCTAGTTAAAGCTCTCAATTTTAATCTAAAAAATCTACCATAGTTTTCCATTGTGGAGGGAAATTAGTTGTTATTGAAGTGATATTTTTCTTTGGAAATTTATTATACCTAATGTATGTGTGTGTGTGTGTGTGTGTGTGTGTGTGTGTGTGTGTACATGCACATGTGTGTTTTAAACAGTCCGAAACCAAGTAACTTTAGCTGAAACACTTCTCTCTTTTTTTTCAGCATACAATATTAAACACTGGAGTAGCTCCGGGCTATTGCAAGGAGCAAAATGTTGTAAAAACAACTCCCTATGACATTTGATGCTACCCTTTGGCTAGGAAAAGTGTGAGGAGGAAAGGGAACTTCAGACATCTGAGGTTTCAGCTATTCTCTCTTTCTTCCCCATATTTCCAAAATCAAAACTTCCCAGTTGAGACTAATATAAAAATCTAGTCAACCAGGACACCAAAGGATCTAGTAATATAAGTTAGATCTAATCCCATAAAACTCTGTGTCTAAAAATGAGAATATTAACAATAAAAAATAGAGCAAGGAGAAGACTGTATGGTGATGGTTATTGTGGATATATACCTTTCTTAAAGTAACATTTTGTGGCAAATTAGTAAATTGTTGACAGAAATCTCAAGCATTGGTATTAATGAGAGAATATTAACAAAATGATAGCTTATTTTTGTATAGTGGTTTAAGATGTAAAAAAGATTTCCATAAATGCATTCTTATTTGATAGCTTTAATAGCTTTTTAAAATGACTGTGTTCAGTGTACTTTAATAAAGTTTGAATAAATACATCTTCTGGGCCTGAATCTGTGGAAGGTGCTAGAGAAACAGGTATGGCTGAGATGAGGTGCTCAAGAATCTCACTGTTTCCTAGGGGAGTGTGAAGGGTGGACAGTTTATTTCCGTATAAAGTAGTACACAAAGTGACAGAAGCATGGAGAGTGCTGCTGTTGATGGGAAGAGGAAGGAGATTCAATCAAGCTTGGCTCTCTGAGGGCTCCACAAGGGGAAGTCATGTTATAAAAATTTCCTAGAGATGAAGCATTATTTAGTAAAAACCCTAATGTACCTTTTTGAAAATAAGAATTTGAACATTATGAGTTTCAATCCCTCATTCGGCTTTTTTCTCAAAAGGTGGTGGGTTAAAATTCTAACATTCTGGAGGTTACAGAAACAAGGAAGGTGGAGGATAAAATAAGTCTTAACAGGGAAAAAACAGGCAATCTCACTTGTGGGAAGTGAGAAGCAAATAGATCCAAGTGTTCCCTGTATTTGTCCCAGTCCAATTTTCCTCAACTGGACTGAGAAAATGAATATTGGTTAACCAGGAAGTTCCTGAAATTGTGGCTGCTGCCACTGTCAATCAATAATCCAGAATTAAGTTATCAGTAATTAAGCCAGAATTTAAAATTACTATAAGGTAGCTTCCAAACCTAGGTGGTAACAAAGAATTTTGATATTTAAGCTAGACTTAAAGACCTCTTCACCAACTAGTTGCAGTTTTATCTAGTTTTATTTTGTTTTTGTTTAAAATTAATTTTTATAATAACCTTATCTCACATCTGAAAAAATTCTATTTAGGAGATACAATTTATCACATGATGCTAAGATCATAACATCATTTTATAGAAGTATATTATTTAATTGAAATAAGGTACTCTTATTAATAGAAAAATACATCAAATTTTATTGCTTCTCTCACAAGCAAATAGTAGATGATTTTTTTAACAGTCAAATCAGCAGGGAGGATAATCTAGAATTAACGTCTAGATAAGGCAAAAATGATAATAAAAAGAGTAGTGATAAGCTTTTTAAAACAATTCCATTGGGCTAGGAGAGAGAAAATTAAGAGTGAACATTTAGTGAAAGGCAAGTATCTTTTGTAGGATTTAGAATCAGACAGACCTGAGTTTGCAGGTGTAGTTTGCCACCTAGTACCTTTGTGAGACTGAATAAGTTAAACTTTCTGACTACCAGTGTCCTAAGCTGTAAATGAATAATGTAAATAACTAATTTCCTATGATTTTTATATAAAAAGTGGAAAAGCATCTGGCACATTTTCTGACACAGAGAAGGCAAAAGGTACATGTGTTTGTTCTTCCCTGCCAGAAAATAAAATAAAATAAAATAAAATCCTTTAATTAGAGTCTAGCAGCATGTGGATTCTTAGATGGTAAGTTACCTGAAAGCCCTAGATTTGCAAATAAGTTCCAAGAGGATGAGTATTCTTACAGTCAAGGGCATGATATGTTTTCAGGCAGCAAATATTATAGTAAGCTTCTATCCAACATCCCAGGACATGGGGCGGGGGGAGGGAAGGGGAAGGCAGGATTGTAACCTTTAGACTATGAGACATAAAATTCATGACATCAAAGGCAAATGATTCAATATAAACCATAATTCTATTTATATGACTGGATCAGATTAAATTCCTTTTAGATTGCCCTCTATGTGTTTTGCTTTCTCATGGCCGCTGGCAGATAATTATTACCTCTGTAAACATTTCCTTCAAGTCTCAATTTCAAGTCTCAGGAAAGTTATCGCTGACCCCTTCAGGCTAATTTAGGTATCCTACTGTTCACTCGCACAGCACCCAGGACTTTCTGAATGTTTATGTAAGTCCTTAGTGTCTATATGCTCCATGAACGAGGGGTTGCTGTCATCTAATTTACTGTCATATCTGTAGTGACAGCACAGTGCTTGACGCATGGTCAATACCCAATTATTAACATTCAAAAGGGTTTATTCAAAATAAGAAATGAAAACCGAGGCAGATTTCCATCCCTTTTGGGTGAAGTGGCATGGCACTGTGGGTCACACAGCACACCTGGCCATTGCTTGAGTCCAGGGATGCTGTGCTTAGGTGTGGGCTGCAAGATCACTGCACAAAGAATATTCTAATACAGGATTTCTATAAGAAATACATTAAAGTGTGAATAAAGACAAATAATCACCTAATAATTAACAAAATATAATTCATAAAAGTTAATACTTAGTGTTTCTCCTAGAAAATTTCTATAAAATTATCACCTACTTCCATTATTGAAACCATTTTTAGTTTCATAAAGGTGAATGTTTGAAAAAAAATGTTGTTGATTGAGTGGAAATTATATAATTAAAACCGTATGCTTGATCCAAATGCTACTTTAGGAATCTCAGTCACATGTCTGTGACAATATCATGTAGTTATTAAGAATGTGTGAGATAGCTGTTGTAAAACCATATGAGGATCAATTTTAAACCCATCATTTATGGTATGAATTTAAGTTATTTACTTAATTTCTGAAAGCTATTTTATAATTTATAAAATGAAGATAATAATGCCTAACTCAGTAGGTGGTTATGATCATTAAAGGGTACAATTACAAAAATGTCAAGGGTATTGTAATTACTCAGTGAGCAACATTAGCTATTGTTGCTAGGTACAACTACTACAGCGAGTTTATCAGCTTTTGCCTTTGTGGTGCACTGCCACCACCTGCTGGCAAAATTACTCAATAGCAGATTGAACTAGAGGTGATTATATCTTTAATGCAGAAAATGGAAAAAAGATTTAGCTTGATAATAAATACTATCAAATATATTAAGAATAAAAAGTAGAAAAATCATCAATTAGTATCTGATAAAATTATTGATTTATGAAAAATGATTTTTCTGAATATACATGGCAATGCAGGTATTAGGTAAAGTTCCCTGTGTTCTGCAGATACAGATCTTTATTCAAGTTTTCTATCTGAAACACTACCTCAATAACTTGTCTCTAAAGTTCTAAAGTCATGTTAACTTGGGAATGAATAACATCACATTATATGAGAATTTCTACAGCAATTTGAGATAATGGTATATAGCTGTAAAATTAAAAATGCCAGAATATTTTTATTCCTGCTTTGTTATGTGAATTCTGGGGTCCCATATTTAAGGAGCTGATAGGTCACATTTTTATTGGTTTCAAAACAAACATGTCTAGAGTTCAGAAACTCACGATACGTAATTTGATGATACTTACTGTGGGCCTGCTGTAAGTCAGACACACCACTTAGGGTCTTCACACCAAATTTTCTGGTTTCTCATAAAAACTCAAAATGTCAGCTTGGCATTCTAAAATCCTTAAGTAAAGACAAAAAGATATAAACAGCATTTACAATTATTCATAAATGTGCCACTCAGAAAAAAAAATTCAATGATTTTTAAAACTGACAATTATAACTTCAGTGATAGAGAAAATGTGTTTTAACAAGTCATTTTGGTTCATACATTTTTCGATTTTTAGAAAGTATTTTTAGCAATCCTCAATTATATTTGTTATGAATTTCTATTAAAAAGTACTTGTGTATCTAATTTAAGAAAAATGGAAAATTTTACCATGAAGTGCTCATATTTATAGGTACCAGAAACTCTCTATATGCCTGAGAGACCTTCTAAAGCAAATTATCGTATTTTAGATATGTTCATCAACATGAAATGTTAGATAAAGGATTTGAAAAAAAAAAGAAATGACATTTAAACTTGTCAATGTTCACCAATATTTCTTAACTCACTTTGATACAATTATTTGTATATATACTATAGATATTTATTGGATTTAGTGACACTGTTATTGGTTTAAAATTATTTTAAAAATCATGTTGGTAAACACAAACATTATATTTTGTCAATTGAATATAACTCCAGAAAAATTTGAAGACACACAAATGCATATGTGCATAAAACTCAACTTTAGTTAAAGATTTGATCAACATTCTTACTTGCTAATTAGCTATTTTATGACAATTGTGTTTGGTGCTGAAACTATCCCCGTATCATAATAATTCTCTGTCATATGTTATTCTAAGTTAACAAATTCTGGACCTGAAAAACATACTCTTCTATCAGTTCTGTCAGCTCAATTTATTTCAATTGAAAAAAATAATCAATTAACTTATCAAATAGATCAAAATAATGAGATGGTATTATGTAAATTTAACTAGTATTTTTAAAAATTGAAAGCAGTGTTAGTAGTTGAGATAAAATTTACGTGTTCAAAAATAATTAGTGTCACATGAATCAAACAGCATGAAAATGCCAACTTATGTATAGAAAGCTGTATCTTTAATCCTTCCAAGATTGTAAAGGCTACTTACAATTTTATGACTCATATAAAAAATTAACAATATCATTTCAATCATTTTGTTACAAAAAGTTTTAACATTACTAAAATAAGACTAATACTTGCTATTAATTCAAAATTGATTATTAGAATAATAATATATTATGGGTGGAGTGCAATTAATAAAATTATCTAATTTAACTTTTATTACACACATATTTTCTGTTTCAAAAAATTCACATTTTGAAATTACAGGAAATTTAAAACTGATTTCTTTTGAGACAATCATACTCCAAAAACTTATCCTGTATTTTATGCTTTAAAAATATTTTATGTGAAAATATTAAAGTCTCATTCTTTTTTTGTTGTTGTTCAAAGTAAACTATTTTAGAATGCATGAAAACACTTTTTTTCAAGATATTTATACTCATCTGTTTAATTCAATATAATACTGCTGCCCTCTAGAGGCAAAATTGGTTTCGGTCATTTATAGGTTTCAATATTCCCCATAAGAGATTAATAAATCAATTGCCAAAGACATAGAAAATACATAGACTCAATATGCAGAAAATATTCAAGAAGTATTATATGGCATTTTTGTCATTATTCTTTTGGTTGCACCACCCACAATTTTCAGTGTCTATCTTTACTGGTAAACAAATAGACTTTACTTAACATTAGGCTTCTATTAATTTTATTGGACTTGAAAAAAATAAAATGTTTAAAAAATCTAGTTGAGTTTCCCCTATTTCTATGTCCATTCCCAGGATAGAAAATTCTGTTATGAAAATTAGGAGTTAAATATTTAAAGAAAAAATATATAACGTGAAGTCAAAAGAATTGCCTCATTCTATTTAAAACATAGAAAGCATTATTTACATTATTTCAACATTATTAAAACCCAAGCATGGTATGGTAAGTTAAAATAAAAAGCACCATGAAGTATATTTTTCAGAACATCAAACACATAAATTTTTATAATTAGGGAAAATGGTTTAATATAGTGTTATATACATATGTGTGTGTATATATATATGTGAATGTGAATATGCTGTTGCTTTTAAAGGGTTGTTTTATGTGTAAAAAGTGACACAAGTGTGGGTTAGGGAGAGAAATTCAAAGAACTGTCCATTAGCTGAGTTAAAAGAGGTCTATTGTGGACACATCCACTTGAATGAAGTTGCCTTACAACTACTACTCAATTCCCTCCCAGTTCGGTTGGTACGATTTAAGCAATACCTCCCTAACAAGAGTCTAGAAGTTGTGTTTCATTTGGTGAATTTATTAACTTTATCTACCATTTTGATAACTGAATAACTTTTTATAGTTTCTTAGTATGTTTTATTGTACTTTTCCTTAAAATCAGGACATATTAAAAAGGAAATAAAGAACATTATTACAGTGTTGATGGAGATTACATGTTATATCTTTTATTTTTACTTTATAGATACGGAGTTGCCACCACTGAAACTTATGCATTCATTTTGTGCATTCAAGGCGGATGATGGCCCATGTAAAGCAATCATGAAAAGATTTTTCTTCAATATTTTCACTCGACAGTGCGAAGAATTTATATATGGGGGATGTGAAGGAAATCAGAATCGATTTGAAAGTCTGGAAGAGTGCAAAAAAATGTGTACAAGAGGTAGGTTTCTGGGAACCCTTATTACTCAAGACCCTTTAGGGCTATTGAGTCTAATTATGGATTTGATAATTTAGGGAGAAAAGTAATTTCATGCTGTTTTAATATTTCCAAGGAATCTTTTATTTCCACATTTTTAGACTTTCAGGGAATCCTAAAAACATTTAAGGAAAATGATAATTCTGAATTGTACCATGAAATACCCACATTTATAGGTACCAGAAACTCTCTATATGCCCGAGAGACATTTTAAAGCAAATTATCAAATTTTAGGTACGGTCAACTTGCATGTTCAACTATCATTTTTCATTTTCTTCATATCAGTGAATTATAAAATATGAGGCCCCATTTATTGTCTTATACTCTTATCCATAATAAAGACAGAAGAAAAAAACCTCAACTCATGTTCAAAGAATTGTGAAGTATTTTTAAAATAAAGTGGGTGTAATTCGGCCTCCCAGACTTGTAATCTCAGTTGGCAGAAGAAAAACTGTTAGTCACATTGACTTAGTCTTTCCTTTGTCAACACAATGGTCTCATCGCTATACTCTCTCAAGATCATGAATCTGGAAATTGAAGCTCTATGGCTCTTAATTACAAAATTGTAAGCTGCATAAAATAGTAGAACTATATATGAAATTTAAGATTTTTTTATTATTGGAACCTTAAAATACTACAGGAAATAAAAATAGAATACCATAGAAAAGAAAAATCATCCCTGATGACCCTTGTGGACTTTACTAAACCCAATGTTTTATATTAATATTACTAAGTTATAAATTTCAAAAGTACGTCATATTATATTAAACTTTTACTCTGCATTAATCCTACTAAAATTTAACATTTTTGCAAATTTTGCTAATTACTTTATTGTATGGGATTTTATATCTTCTCACTAAGATAAATTACAAATAATTACTGACCAAAATTTTGAATGTTTTTTTTTTAATGTCAGGCTATTCTTCCAAATTGTAAGTTACTCAAGGGATAGAATAAGTTGAGTTGCTTTTATTTCCCTAGTTTCTAGACCAATATTCTACCATAGCATGTTCGTAGAGCTGGTTGGATACAATTGAGGTGATACAGAAATGATATCTCTGGTTAGTAACACTAGATGTCTTGTTTTTTGCAAATCAGGCAGCTCTGCATTCTCACTCTGTTACTGCTTTCTAAATAGCTTTTACTAAACAGCCTTGGCATCATGGTGCTCTTGGCCTGTGGGAAAACTTCCATGTGGTGAAAAGAGTGAACTTCTCTCCTCTGTGGCTCTGTAAGATGTTTAGTTGTATGCTCCCAAGCTGAAAGAAGAGAATAGACACGAATATATTTCTTTAACCTCACAGCACTGATTTCTCTGTTTCCTCTCCATAGATGCCCTAGGAATGTTACTAACACAGTTTAGGCAGCTCAGTGGTCCTCAGTGGTGCTTTTGGTTTTTGTGATTGCTTGGTCTTTTCCCATTCATCACAGATTTCTATACCCCATTTTCTTCCATACATATTGGGCCAAGTATCCTTTTGTGTTGAGTTGAAAATCATTCTTAGTTGTCAGTACCTTGGCTAGAAGCCTGGTTGCCTCATTCTTTGTAATCCCCACTCTTTCATTTAGCAGGCTATTTATTTTCATCAACTGGCCTCTTTCCTGAAATATATACCTGTTCTTTTTATATATGTGTATAGTTCAAGTCTTATGGTTTATCATTGTGCAAAACTTACTCTTTTCTTTAAAGGTTAGGGAAATGTAATCATTTTGCTCATCAGTGATAGCCTTGCTTATCATCATTTAAAATATCATTTCTGGCTAGCATGTAAATGTAACTCTCTTACCCCCATCTCCTCATTATCTATCAAAATTCACTTGAGGCTGGGTGCAGTGGCTCACACCTGTAATCCCAGCACTTTGGGAGGCTGAGGTGGGTGGATCACCTAAGGTCAGGAATTTTAGACCAGCCTCACCAATATGGTGAAACTCCGTCCCTACTAAAAATACAAAAATTAGCTGGGTATGGTGGCATGTGCCTGTAGTCCCAGCTACTCAGGAGGCTGAGACAGGAGAATTGCTTAAAACCAGGAGCCAGACGTTGCAGTGAGCCAAGATTGCACCACTGCACTCTAGCTGTGCAACAGAGGAAGACTCCATGAAAAAAAAAGAAAAGTCACTTGCAATTATTGTATGAATGTCTGAGTGTTTTATACAGCAGACTACTGATAAGGATATAACTGGTATATGGAAAAAATATGGCTAGACTTTTAAAAACGCACCTAAGGAGAGAATTTAATCGGCAGCCATGATGGATAAATAGAACAAGACTTTCTCTCCCCAACATAAAGAACTATAAAACTGGACAAAATGTAAAAAACTACTGTTTGCAAGCATTGAACAAAAGGCAGTGCAGGATTGTGACCTCTGGGAGAAGGTAAATACATAAGATGAGCCCTGCAGTCTCCCCTGCTTCCTGTGTGAAGGCATTCAGAACCACCATTACATGAAAGAAACCCAAGTACAGCATGGTGGTCTCTCTGAAAAGAGGAGATGGCTATTAGAGATTAGAAAGCAGAAGTGGTTGTGGTTTTTCTAACAATGTGTGTTATATGGTTTCACTCTGTGTCCCTACCCAAATATCATCTTGTAGCTCCCATAATTCCCATATGTTGTGGGAGGGACTGGTGGGAAATGATTGAATCATGGGGGATGGGGCGGGGGGGAAGGTGGTCTTTCCCATGCTATTATCGTGGTAGTGAATGGGTCTCACATGATCTTATGGTTTTAACAAACAGGAGTTTCTCTGCATAAGCTCTCTCTTTGCCTGCCGCTATCCATGTAAGATGTGACTTGCTCACAGTAAATTGGTACCAGTAGAATGGGGTGTTGCTGGAAAGATACCTGAAAATGTGGAAGTGACTTTGGAACTGGGTAACAGGCAGAGGTTGCAACAGTTTGGAGGGCTCAGAAGAAGACAGGAAAATGTTGGAAAGTTTGGAACTTCCAAGAGACTTGTTGAAAGGCTTTGACAAAAATGCTGATAGTGATATGAACGATAAGGTCCAGCCTGAGGTGGTCTCAGATAGAGATGAGGAACTTTTTGGGAAGTTGAGCAAAGCTGACTCTCATTATGTTTTAGCAAAGAGACTGGCAGCATTTTGCCCCTGCCCTAGAGATTCGTGGAATGTTGAACTTGAAGAAATGATGTAGAGTAATTGACAGAATAAATTTCTAAGCACCAAAGCATTCAAGGGGGGTTTAGGTGCTGTTAAAGGCATTCAGTTTCAAAAGAGAAACAGAGCATAAAAGTATGGAAAATTTGCAGCTTGACAATGCAAGTGAAAAGAAAATTACATTCTCTGAGGAAAAATTCAAGCCAGCTGCAGAAATTTGCATAAGTAACAAGGATCTGAATGTTAATCACCAGGAAAATGGGGAAAATATCTCTAGGGCATGTGAGACATTTGTGCCAGCTCTTCCCATCACAGGCCTGGAGGCTTAGGAGGAAAAAGTGGTTTCCTGGACCCGGCCCAGGGTCCTCATGCTGTGTGCAGTCTAGGGACTTCGTGCCCTGTGTCCCAGCCACTCCAGCCATGATTGAAAGGGGTCAACGTAGAGCTAGGGCCAGAGCTTCAGAGGGTGCAAGCCTCGAGCCTTGGCAACTTCCACATGGTATTGAGCCTGAGAGTATACCGAAGTCAAGAATTGAGGTTTGGGAACCTACATCTAGATTTCAGAAGATGTATGGAAATGCCTGGATGCGCAGATAAAAGTTTGCTGCATGGGTGGGGCTCTCATGGAGAACCTCTGCTAGAGCAGTGCAGAAGGGAAATGTAGAGTCAGACCCCCGACACAGATTCCCTACTGGGGCACTGCCTAGTGGAGCTGTGAGAAGAAAGCCACCATACTCCAGGCCACAGAATGGTAGATCCATTGACAGCTTGCACCATGCACTTGCACATTTCAAAACTGATCATGCCTTCCCAATAGTCCCCCAAATTCTTAACTCATTTCAGCATTAACTCAGAAGTCCACAGTCCAATGTCTCATCTGAGACAAGGCAAGTCCCTTCTGCCTAGGAGCTTGTAAAATCAAAAGCAAGTTAGTTACTTCCTAGATACAATGGGGGTACAGGCATTGGGTAAATACAGCTGTTCCAAATGGGAGAAACTGGCCAAAACAAAGGGTCTACAGGCCCCATGGAAGTCCAAAATCCAGCAGGGCAGTCAAATCCTAAAGCTCCAAAATGATCTCCTTTGACTCCATGTCTCATATCCAGGTCACGCTGATGCAAGAGGTGGGCTCCCATGGTCTTGGGCAGCTCTGCCCTTGTGACTTTGCAGGGTACAGCCTCCCTCCTGGTTGTAACACTTATTTACAGCCAACTGTTCTTTGACAAAATCAACAAAAACACACAGTGGTGAATGGGCACTCTATTCAATAAATGGTGTTGAGAAATTGGATAATCATATGCAGAAGAATAAAACTGGAATAATGTCTCTTGCCTTATACAAAAATGAACTCAAAATAGATTAATGACTTAAATGTAAAACCTGAAACTATAATAATTCTAGAGGAAAATCTGGGAAAAACCCTCCTACATATTGACCTAGGCAAAGAATTTATGACTAAATCCTCAAAAGCAAATGCAAGAGAAACAAAAATAGCCAAATGAGAGTTAAATTGAAGTTGATCCACAAGTAACTTAAATTAAAAATGTTCTGCACAGCCAAAGAAGTATCAGAGTGAACAGATAACCTAAGGAATGAGAAAAATATTTGCAAACTGTGTATTGGACAAAAGACTAATATCTAAAATGTACATGTAACTCAAACAATTCAACAAGAAAATAACAAACCATTTAAAAAATGGACAAAGGACATGAAAAGGTATTTTTCAAAAGAAACATATACACAACCAACAAGCATATGAAAAAATGCTGAAAATCACTAATCATCAGACAAATGCAAATTAAAACCACAATGAGATACCATATTATACCAGTCAGAATGGCTACTATTAAAAAGTCAAAAAATAACAGATGTTGAAGATTAGGAGAAAAAAGAATGCTTATAAATTGTTGCTGGAAATGTAAATTAGTATAACCTGTATGGAAAACAGTATGGAGATTTCCCAAAGACCTAAAAAATAGAACTACCATTTGTTCCAGCAATCCCACTACTGGCTGTCTACCCAAAAGCAAATACATCATTATATCAGAAAGATAACTGTACTTGTATGTTTAGCACAGCACTATTTACAGTAGCAAAGATATAAAATCAACGTAAGTGTCTATTAACAGATGATTGGGTAAATAAAATGTGATATTTATATATACACATATACTCCATGGAGTACTACTCAGCCATTAAAAATAAAATCATGTCTTTTATAGCAGCATGGATGGAACTGGAGGCTATTATCTTAAGTGAAATAACTCAGAAACAGAAATTCAAATACCACATGTTCTAATTTATAAGTGGGGGGTAAATAGTGCATACATGTGGGCATAGTAGAATAATAGACAATGGACACTCAGGAAGATGGGAGGATGAAAGGGAACTGGGGAATGAGAAACTATCTAATGGGTACAATGGACACTATTTGGGTTATGGTTACACTAAAATCCACTTCACCACTATGCAATATAACCACATAACAAAATCGTACTTCTAGCCCCTAAATCTATGAAAATAAAAAAGAAATAAATTTTTAAAAAGAAAAAACAAAGAACTGAAAGAGAAAAAAAGTGCCAATCAGTAATCTACTTCTTAAAATAAGGGCTTTTCAAATCAGCATTATCTGGGGAAATTTATTCCTGGTAGAGCAGCAGTACAATTAGTATTAAAGGATTTAGAATTAAAGCACACAGGAAGGAAGGAGAAAAATATGAGATTATTGTTGTAAAGTTCTGAGGTTTCTACAGGTGACAATGACATACATTACTTGGCACTAGACTGTAATGGATTAGTACATTATAATCCTTAAAGCAACCATTAAAAAAATGAAACAAGCAGAAATAACAAATAGGCCCATAATGAAGATGAAATTATTATTAAAATATTCAATTACAGTAATTCTAAAGAAGACATGAACAGAGGGAAACAGAAACAAAGAAGAAATGAGAAACAGAAATCAAATTGCTAGTGATATTTATACTCAACTTTAATGATAATTAGATTAAATTAAAATTTAATGGTCCAGTCACGCCAGTTAAAAGGTAGATATTATCACTCTGTATGCAAAAATAAATCAAGAACTAACTACATGTTGTCTATAGGAAAGGCCCTTTAAAAATAAGGACAGAGAGATTAAAAGTGAAAGGATAGAAAAAGATATAATATGTAAGCACTAATCATAAGAATGATTAGTAAAAGTAGACTACAGGATAAAAAATACTACCTGGTGGAAAGAAAGATATTTATAATGGGGGTCCATTAATAAAAAAGACACAACAATCCTTAATTCCTATGTGCATGGTCCTAATTACAAAACTCCAAAATTTTTAAAGAAAAAGTTGGCAGAAGTGAGAGTATACAATTATTCAGTTCAGTTTACATACTTCAAGACACCTTTTTTCAGTAACTGACAGAAAAAGTAAACAACAATCACTAAGGATATAAAAGATTTGAACAACACTCTCTACCAACTTCACACAATTGGTATTTATCTAACACTCTCCTTGCACACCCAGAAGAAAATATCATTATTTACATCTGGCACACTTTTGAATGGATTTAGAAGCAAAAATAAATAAGTCAGTTTGAGGTATAAATATCATATGCCAATGTGTGTCAACCAAATGCAAATTTTGGGATATTTTTGCTTGTCAGTCTTACATCTTAATATTCATAATGAAATATTAAAACAAATTCATATAAATTGAAATTCAAAAGAGTACTAGAATGGAAATTAGTCTAACATTCTCTCATTGCTCCTTAAAAAGCATTGATAAATGCTTCGTCCTGTCTAAATCTAAGAAAACTTGATAATTTGCTGTAAATCTTTTCTAACTATTAATCGCTTTCATACTGCTATTGCCATACAAATTATCGTGTCCAAGGTTATTATTATTAGTCCTCAAAGACAATTATTGGTAATATAAATACACTTAAAATTCTAGTGTGCTAAACCACATTGAGTTAATTGGCATGTATATTACCTGAATTAATCCTATTTACAATGTAACAGTAAACAAACAAAATAGATGTTCTTTTAAAAATTGTATTAATCAAGCATTTATATATTCCCATCTTATGACTATTGTCAATAGGTAAATCAGG